>NT_187610.1:0-134193 GCF_000001405.40 Homo sapiens
CCGCCAAAGGAGAAGCTGCCTTCCCGGGGAAGGGGCAGAGAGGGGCCGGCGGGCTGAGGCCAACCAGCGCAGAAAGGGCCTGGCAGCCATTACTGTAGCGCTGGCGGCTCTGTCACGCCCCTGAAGCCGCTGGCCCGCGGGTGTGTTCAGCTCAGGAGCGGCCCTGCGTGTTTTTCCCCCGTGGCCGTCGCGGACCCCCGTCTTCCAACAGTGGTGCGGGCGGGGCGCCCCGTCCTGGGTTCGCGGCATAGCCCCGCCCGGGCCCCCACGCGGAACAGAAGTAACGGACCCTTTTTTTTTTGTTTTTGTTTTTGAAACGGAGTGTCGCTCTGTCGCCCAGGATAGAGTGCAGTGGCGCGATCTCGGCTCACTGCAACCTCCGCCTCCCGGGTTCAAGCGATTCTCCTGCCTCAGCCTCCCGAGTAGATGGAACTACAGGCACCCGCCACAATGCCCGGCTAATTTTTGTATTTTTAGTAAAGAGGGGGTTTCGCCATGTTGTCCAGGATGGTCTCGAACTCCTGACCTCGTGATCCGCCCGCCTCGGCCTCCCAAAGTGTTGGGATTACAGGCGTGAGCCACCGCGCCCGGCCCCGGACCCTTCTTTATTGGCCTCAAAACGGGTCATTTTGGGAAGCGGCGCGGGGCTGGCCGCGCTTCCCTGGGCCCCGGCCCTCCCCATGGTGTTTACGGGGAGGCGAACGGGGAGCCCAGAGGCTGCGAGCCTGGCCTGGACCCAGGAGCCAGGGGTATCCCACAAGTCCTGGAGGCTCTGAACGCGGCGCTGACGCCGAATACCTGTGAAAAAGACTCGGGGAGGAGACCCGCAGACCGCCGAGCTTCTGCCGCGGGAACCGCGCCCCCGGCCCCGCAATGCGCCTGCGCCTCGCGCGCCGACTTCCAGTCCCAGCAGGCCGCGGGCGGGGGCGGGGCCTCCGGGGAGAATTCGGGGGAGGGGCGGGGCCTCCGGGAAGCAATCAGGGCAGGGGCGGGGCGTCCGGGGAGTGGGGCGGGGCTCCCGGTTCCAGGCGAGTTCGCAGCTGCGCGCCGGGTCCTGGAGGCCGAGGCCGCTCCCGCCCGTTGTCCCCGCAGTCCCCGACGGGAGCGCCATGGCCCAGCCGCCGCCCGACGTGGAGGGGGACGACTGTCTCCCCGCGTACCGCCACCTCTTCTGCCCGGACCTGCTGCGGTGAGCGGGGCCTGGGAAGCGAGCGCAGCCTTGGTGCGGGGTCCGGTCCGCGGGCGCCGGCGCCCCCACGTGGTCCCCGAGGGCTCGCGTGTTAGGAAACCTGTCTTGCCTGGCTCCTTTCTTTCTTTTTTCTTTCTTTTTTTTTTTTTGAGACGGAATCTCGCTGTGTCGCCCAGGCTGGAGTGCAGTGGCACGATCTCCGCTCACTGCAAACTCTGCCTCCCGGGTTCAAGCGATTCTCCTGCCTCAGCCCGGCTAATTTTTATTTTTAGTAGAGAGGGGGTGTCACCGTGTTGGTCAGGCTCTTTTCGAACTCCTGACCTCAGGTGATCCACCCGCCTCGGCTTCCCAAAGTGCTGGGATTTACAGGCGTGAGCCACCGCGCCCGGCCCAACCTGGCCTCTTTCTTAACAGAAAATTTTAGGTTGAAATCATTTTTCCGGAAGACCCAGAAGGCCCAGGAATGCCAGGTTTTGCCCAGCAGCTCTTCATTTTCCTGCAAACGCCTTGGTGTTCACAAGAGAAGGCAGCCCGGGCAAAGGTCGATCCTCCCCGGTCACCTGCCCTCACTCGGCTAATGGGCGGATCCTTTTTTTTTTTTCCTTTTCTTTTTTTCAATTGGCAACATTTTCAAGTTTCTATTAAAATTTTGATCTTTTGCCAGGAGCAGTGGCTCACGCCTGTAATCCCAGCTCTTTGGGAGGCCGAAGCGGGTAGATCACCAGAGGTCAGGAGTTCGAGACCAGCCTGGCCAACATGGTGAAACCCCGTCTCTGCTAAAAATACAAAAAATTAGCCGGGTGTGGTGGCGCACACCTGTAATCCCAACTACTTGGGAGGCTGAGGCAGGAGAATCACTTGAACTCGGGAGGTGGAGGTTGCAGTGAGCCGAGATCGCACCATTGCACTGGGCAACAAGAGTGAAACTCCATCTCAAAAAAAGAAAACAAGTTTTAAATTATGTTCTCCAAGGACAGGTATTGACAATTCTCTCTGAGTGTTCTGCAGGAAAAAAAAAAAGTTTTTTTTCGAAACGGAGTCTCATTCTGGGTTGAAGCAATTCTCCTGCCTCAGCCTCCCAATTCTCCTGCTTCAGCCTCAGTGCGCCCAAGTGGGACTATAGGCACACAATACCACGCTGGGCTAATTGTATTTCTAGTAGAGGTGAGTGTCACCATGTTGGTCAGGCTGGTCTGGAACTCCTGACCTCAGATGATCCACCTGCCTCGGCCTCCCAAAGTGCTGGGATGACAGGAGTGAGACGCTGCACCTGGCCCAAAATTAATCTTTAATAATTAAGAATAGGAAAGGCAACTTGGAGATCAGCAAAAGTTTGCCATCCATCTGGTACAGTTTGTGCCAGTCATACCGATCAGTACACATTTAATGCGTACAAGAAAATCTCTAATAAATAAAAAAGCCATATTATCCCGACGTAGCTTGCTGAATCTCAGGTATCATATTTGATATTAGTGCCATGCAGGGCTTAGGAGAGAGGAAATTATAACCTCTATCTTGTTTAAGCCAGGGTATTTTTCTCTCTTGTATCTACTTCTGTCCATTTCTGTCAAAAGACACAGAAATACCCTTTCCCCCACTGCACTTTGCAAGTTTGTGTCAGCACAAGTTCAGGACCAGCCTGAGCAACAAAACGATACCCCTCTCTAGAAAAACTAGATGAAAAATTAGCTGGGCACTCTGGCATGCACCTGTAGTCCCAGCTACTGGGGAGGCTGAAGCAGGAGGATCCTTCTAGCCCAAGAGGTCAAGGCGGCAGTGAGCCGTGATGGTGCCACTGCACTCCAACCTGGATGACGTAGCAAGAACCTGTCTCAAAATAAATAAATAGGCCCGGTGTGGTGGCTCATGCCTGTAATCCCAGCACTTTGGGAGGCCGAGGTGGGTGGATCACAAGGTCAGGAGATCGAGACCATCCTGGCTAACACGGTGAAACCTCATCTCTACTAAAAATACAAAAAATTAGCTGGGCGTGGTGGCAGGTGCCTGTAGTCCCAGCTACTCTGGAGGCTGAGGCAGGAGAATGGTGTGAACCTGGGAGGAGGAGTTTGCAGTGAGCCTAGATCATGCCACTGCACTCCAGCCTGGGCGACAGAGCGAGACTCCATCTCAAAAAAAATAAAAAATAAATAAATAAATTAAATAAAATACTATAATTTTATGAATTTTCATTTTATTTATTTATTTATTTTTTAAGACCATGTTTCGCTCTTGTTGCCCAGGCTGGAGTGCAATGGCGCAATTTTGGCTCACCACAACCTCCGCCTCCTGGGTTCAAGTGATTCTCCTGCCTCAGCCTCCCAAGTAGCTGGGATTACAGGCATGCACCACCACACCCGGCTAATTTTTTATATTTTTAGTAGAGACGGGGTTTCTCCATGTTGGTCAGGCTGGTCTCGAACTCCCGACCTCAGGTGATCCGCCCGCCTTGGCCTCCTAAAGTGCTGTGATTAGAGGTGTGAGCCAAGGCACCTGGCCGAATTTTCATTTTAAATCATTGCCGTATAGCAATATGGGAGGTGTATTTTAACAGGGCTCTTTTATTTTTTATTTATTTTTATTTTATTTTATTTATACATATTTTTTGAGACGGAGTCTTGCTCTTTTGCCCAGGCTGGAGTGCAGTGGTGCGATCTCGGCTCACTGCAACATCTGCCTCCCGGGTTCAAGCTATTCTCCTGCCTCAGCCTCCCAAGTAGCTAGGACTACAGGCACCCACCACCACGCCCAGCTGATTTTTGTATTTTTAGTAGAGACGAGGTTTTACCATATTGTCCAAGCTGGTCTCGATCTCCTGACCTTGTGGCCCACCCACCTTGGCCTTCCAAAGTGCTGGGAGCCACCGGCCCGGCCCAATAGGGCTCTTTTAAAAGAGCCTCCTTTTTTATTCTCAGGGACAAAGTGGCCTTCATCACAGGAGGCGGCTCTGGGATTGGGTTCCGGATTGCTGAGATTTTCATGCGGTGAGACTGCTCTGTGTCCCTTCCCTGCTCCTCGCTTCTCCCTGCCCGGGCCCTGCTGGATGCCCGACCCCTGGAAAGATGTTGGTGGGAGGTAGATGTCCCCTGCTCACCTACCCGACAGGATCCAGGTGCCTGCCAGAGGGACTGGGGAGCGGTCGAGGATTGCCCTGGGGGGAGTCAGGACTTCAAGGCCCCTACAGGTCAGTGGAGATTGTGTGGCTCTGGTCTGGGGCCTGCTGGGACCTCGAGAGTCAGGGCTGTGTCGGGCCCCAGTGCTGGCGCCCTGCAGAGCACATTTTCTCCTGGGACACAATTCTGTGGCTTCAGGCCAGGGTCAGCAACTTATCCCACCTGACAGTGGCTAGAGTTAGGCTGGGGTGGGGGAAAGGGACCCTTCCTCAGTTCCCCTGAGGCCCCTGCTTTTCAGACCAAAAAGGTGAGTCCCACAGGAAGAGATATGGCCTTTCCACTGGTGGCTTTGTGCTCAGGGCATCTGAGGACCAGATGGGACATTGCAGCTCCAGTGGGACCTGCCTAGCAGGGGTAGCTACCTTTATGGTTATTGTGGGCAAGCAACCCCCGAACCAGAAGAGCCGAGAAACCAAAGAACAAGGCAGACAGATCCCGTTTGTCTGTGTCAGGTGATTTTACCAGGGAATTTGTGGGCAGAAGCGTAGTCTTGGGTGGCTGTGAGACGGGCGTCTCCATGCTGTTACCCCCAGGCCCAGGGCTTCTATACCACAGGGAAAGGGGTCCTGCTTCAGAGGGAGTGTGTAGGAATTTGTTTAGGATAACATCAAGGTGGTTTTGACCTAAAGGCAGGACTTCTTTGTGCTCTTTCGCAAGAACAGTAGATAAGCTGGAAATCCTAGCGGCATTCCTGGAACCAGGGTTCATAGAGGCCAACGTGGTGGATTCGCATCCACGTGGTCAGGAAGGGGAGCAGGGAGCACCCCGCTTCAGAACAGTCCTCCACGCCAGCCCCACAGGGAGAAGGGGGTGGAGAATGTGGGCCCAGCAGGCCCCAGGCAGATGTGTGGGCTGGGCGTCTGTGGCTCACAGCTGTCTCTGTACCTGGTGTTTGGGGCAGGACCCGCAGGCCTGTGCGGTGGGATGTCCCATGCCAGAAACCCCGGGGTGGGCACCACCTGAGGTCCCTCCAGAGTACCTCAGTCCTGTTCACGCCCCTGTGCCCTCTGCCAGCTGGGCCTTCAGCCTGGACTGGTACTTCCGCCTGAGAGACTCCTGCTCAGGAGCTGGGCAGATGCCCCGGGAGTGCCCCTCGCCCACACTGCCCTCACACCTGCTTCTGGTTTTGCAGGCACGGCTGCCATACGGTGATTGCCAGTAGGAGCCTGCCGCGAGTGCTGACGGTGAGAGGGCCTCTCCCATGGTCCCCTGTTCGGGTGGCTGTGGGGGGGCTGGGGCTGGGCCTGGGCCAGGAGAGTCCAGAGGCTATGGGGATGTTGGCACCAAAACTTTTTTTTTCTGAGACGGGAGTCTCGCTCTGTCACCCAGGCTGAAGTGTGGTGGTGCGATCTCGGCTCACTGCAGCCTCCACCTCCCAGGATCAAGCGATTCTCCTGCCTCAGCCTCCGGAGTAGCTGGGACTACAGGTGCCCGCCACCACGCCTGGCTAATTTTTGCATTTTTTTGGTAGAGATGGGTTTTCACCACGTTGACCAGGCTGGTCTCGAATTCCTGACCTCAGGTGATCCGCCCACCTCAGCCTCCCAAAGTGCCAGGATTACAGGTGTGAACCACTGTGCCCGGCCGGCACCTCAGCCTCCCAAAGTGCCAGGATTACAGGTGTGAATCACTGTGCCCGGCCGGCACCTCAGCCTCCCAAAGTGCCAGGATTACAGGTGTGAACCACTGTGCCCAGCCGGCACCAAAACTTGCACCTATCCTAAATATGGAGCTTCAGTGTAAGTGGCCTCCCAGAGACATCTTTGACTTTTTAAAAAATCTAGTTATTGGGTTCTGGGAGGGACCTTCCTGTTTGGGGGTAATGTGGCCCCAAGAAAGACCTCTGGGCTCACCTGGGTTATTTAGGTGGTCCGTGCGTCCCACCTACTGGAGCCCTCGACCTGGGAGGAGAGTCTCACCTGTGCCACCTCTGGTCTGCAGCAGGGGCAGGACATGGGTGACAGTGGCCTGGAGGGCGACGCAGAGGGAGGATTCTAGGACAGGTGGCAGGTGGGGGGAGAGCGTGGCAGGTTCCCACAAACATCCACTGGGGTCGTGGGCACTTGCAGGCTGTGCTTCCCCAGAGTGGGGTCCAGCAGCAAACCCAGGGTCCCCGAGGAACCCGGAAGCATCGTCCTCTGCAGATTCCAAAGGCCTTTTCTCCAGGCCGAGGCTGCAGGGCTGCTGTCTGCCTCTTTACCTGGCTTCTAGGCCGCCAGGAAGCTGGCTGGGGCCACCGGCCGGCGCTGCCTCCCTCTCTCTATGGACGTCCGAGCGCCCCCAGCTGTCATGGCCGCCGTGGACCAGGCTCTGAAGGAGTTTGGCAGAATCGACATTCTCATTAACTGTGAGTCGGTGCTGAGTGAGGTTGGTGGCTTCTCACAGGTTGGTGGTACCATTTGGAGGCCCTAGAACTCTGGTCATGGGGTGGGGACCATGCCAGGGAACCTAGCTGCCTGTGCTGGGGTGGGCTGCACCCCATCCAGGTACCTGAGGCCAAGACTCAGGCTCCGGCCCCCTGTCTCCGGCCCCATCTCCGGCCCCCTGTCTCCGGGCCCCTGTCTCCGGGCCTCTGTCTCCGGGCTCTGTCTCCGGGCCTCTGTCTTCGGCCGCATCTCCGGCCCCCTGTCTCTGGGCCTCTGTCTCCGGGCGTCTCTCTCCGGCCCCATCTCCGGCCCCCTGTCTCCGGGCCTCTGTCTCCGGCCCCATCTCCGGCCCCCTGTCTCCGGGCCCCTGTCTCCAGGCCTCTGTCTCCGGCCCCCTGTCTCCGGGCCCCTGTCTCCGGGCCTCTGTCTCCGGCCCCCTGTCTCCGGGCCCCTGTCTCCGGGCCTCTGTCTCCGGCCCTCTGTCTCCGGGCCCCTGTCTCCGGGCCCCTGTCTCCAGCCCCCTGTCTCCGGACCTCTGTCTCCGGGCCCCTGTCTCCGGGCCTCTGTCTCCGGCCCCCTGTCTCCGGGCCTCTGTCTCCGGGCCTCTGTCTCCGGCCCCCTGTCTCCGGCCCCCTGTCTCCGGGCCTCTGTCTCCGGGCCTCTGTCTCCGGCCCCCTGTCTCTGGGCCTCTGTCTCCGGCCCCATCTCCGGCCCCCTGTCTCCGGGCTTCTGTCTCTGGCCCTCTGTCTCTGGCCCTCTGTCTCCAGGCCTTTGTGTCCCGCCTTCTGTCTCTGGCCCTCTGTCTCCGGCCTGACTCCGCTTCTCTGGGTGGCAGCAGGTCAGCACAGCTGCAGCCCAAGTGGACGCCATGAACACAGCTCAATGGTAGAGTCGGGTGCCCTTGTGTCCTGAAATTCCGTCTTTAAAAAAAAAAGTAATAGCCTTTTTTTTTTTTTTAGACAGCATCTCACTCTGTCACCCAGGCTGGTGTGATCATGGCTTACTGCAGCCTCCACCTTCTGGGCTCAAGCCATCCTCCTGCCCCAGCCTCCTGAGGAGCTGGGACTACAGACGTGTGCCATCACGCCTGGCTAATTTTTATATTTTTTATTTTTTGTAGAGACAGGGTCTTAGTGTGTGTTGCTCAGGCCAGTCTCAAACTCCTAGGCTCAAGCAATCTTCCTGCCTTGGCCTCCCAAAATGCTGGGATTACAAGCAAGAGTCATCAATAAAATAGAAGCTAGCCTGGCCTAGCTTTTTTTTTTTTTTTAGAGGGAGTTTCGCTCTTGTTGCCCAGGCTGGAGTACCATGGTACAATCTCAGCTTACAGCACCCTCCGCCTCCCGGGTTCAAGCAATTCTCCCGTCTCAGCCTCCCAAGTAGCTGGGATTACAGGCGCCCGCTACCACACCTGGCTAATTTTTGTATTTTTAATAGAGATGGGGTTTCATCATATTGTTTAGACTGGTCTCGAACTCTTGATCTCAGGTGATCCGCCCGCCTTGGCTTCCGAAAGTGCTGGGATTACAGGCGTGAGCCGCCGCGCCTGGCCCCCAGCTTTTATTTTTATTTCTTTATTTTTTATTTTTATTGATTTTTATTTTTATTTTTTGAGAGAGTCTTGCTGTGTCGCCCAGGCTGGAGTGCAGTGGCGCAATCTTGGCTCACTGCAAGCTCCGCCTCCCGGGTTCATGCCATTCTCCTGCCTCAGTCCCCCAGTAGCTGGGACTACAGGTGCCTGCCACCACGCCTGGCTAACTTTTTGTATTTTTACTAGAGATGGGGTTTCACCATGTTAGCCAGGATGGTCTCGATCTCCTGACCTCGTGATCCGCCCGCCTCAGCCTCCCAAAGTGCTGGGATTACAGGCGTGAGCCACCACGCCTGGCCGATTTTTTTTTTTAAATCACAGTTTTAGGTTTATAGAATAATTAATAGTATATGGAATTCCATACTCCCACCTACAGTTTTCCCTGTTAACATCTTGCGTTTGTTACAATTGATGAACCAACACTGGTTTCACTCTGCAGAAATTCCCTTTTAAAAACATCCTGTGTATTAGTTTCCTGGGCTAACAGAGTACTACGACCTGTGTGGGTAAAACAACCGAAATATAATCTCCCAGTTCTGGAGGCCAGAACGTCCAAGGGGAAGGCGTCGGCAGAGCTATGCTCTCTGAAGGCCCCAGGGGAGAGCCTCTTCCTGCCTTCTGCGTGGCTTCGGGTACTGCCATAGCCCTTGGCCCTCCCGGGCTCGGAGACCGTCGCTGCACTGTCTGCCACTGTCTTCCCGTGGCGTGTGTCTGTGTGTCCTCTTCCCTTGTTATAAGGATGCTGGTCATTGGATTTAGGGCTCACCCTAATTCGTTGTGACTTCAGTGTAATTCGATTATCTCTGCAACCCACCCCATTTCCAAACAAGGCCACAGTCGCAGGTACGGAGCCAGGGCTTCAGCATGTCTTCTCTTCTCGGGGACACAGTGCAGCCAGGACGCCCGTCTTGCTCTGGTCATTTTGGAATTTATCCTAGGGCATGGGTCTCCTCCCTGTGCCACAGGGCACCTGGGCTCCCTCCTGCACCCTCCGCTCTGCCCACCTGGCCACCACCCACTTGGCATCCCTCTCCCCAGGCTCCAGCAGCTCCTGCGGTCTCCCATTCTGCAGGTGCGGCCGGGAACTTCCTGTGCCCCGCTGGCGCCTTGTCCTTCAACGCCTTCAAGACCGTGATGGACATCGATACCAGCGGCACCTTCAATGTGTCTCGTGTGCTCTATGAGAAGTTCTTCCGGGTGGGTGCCTCGTGCGCTCTGTGAGAAGTTCTTCCGGGTGGGTGCCTCGTGCGCTCTGTGAGAAGTTCTTCCGGGTGGGTGCCTTGTGCGCTCTGTGAGAAGTTCTTCCGGGTGGGTGTACTCCCAGCGGGGGCCTCCCCCTGACGGCCGCCCGCTCCCTGCCCTGGGCCTCCCCATGACGGCCGCCCGCTCCCTGCCCTGGGCCTCCCCCTGACGGCCGCCCGCTCCCTGCCCCGGGCCTCCCCCTGACAGCCACCCGCTCACTGTCCTGTGACCTCCCCCGACACCCGCCCGCTCACTGCCCCGGGCCTTGTGTGTTGCAGGACCACGGAGGGGTGATCGTGAACATCACTGCCACCCTGGGGAACCGGGGGCAGGCGCTCCAGGTGCATGCAGGCTCCGCCAAGGCCGCTGTGGGTATGACCACCCCCCCCCGCCCAGGTTTGCCCACGTGGGTCCCCAATGGGCCGTCTGCTTCCATCCCAGGAGGCCAGCAGTCTCCACTTGAAGCTGAGCCCAGCTGCAGGCAGCGAGACCTGGCCTTGGCCCTGCGCCCTCGCAGAGGGCAGAGCGGCCCTTTCATATCCAACTTTCTTCTGTGCAGACGCGATGACGCGGCACTTGGCTGTGGAGTGGGGTCCCCAAAACATCCGCGTCAACAGCCTCGCCCCTGGCCCCATCAGTGGCACAGAGGGGCTCCGGCGACTGGGTAAGGCTCTCAGGGAGCCCAGGCCTCCCACAGATCCTCTCCTGGGGCACAGGGTGCCCATGAAGCTTCCAGAACCTTGGCAGGGTGTATGTTGAAAAGCCCTGTGCTGGTTCCATGGTGGCAACTATGTTCTGTGCCTGGCCTGATCCTGCTCCATGCTAGGCCTTGGTGACACTGACTGTGTCCTTGCTGTTCCCAGATGCCTCTCAGGGAATGAGCTGGGGGAGAGGGGAGGGTGCTGGGTCTTGGGGCTCACGGGGCCTGAGCCTTCTGCTGCCCTCCAGGTGGCCCTCAGGCCAGCCTGAGCACCAAGGTCACTGCCAGCCCGCTGCAGAGGCTGGGGAACAAGACCGAGATCGCCCACAGCGTGCTCTACCTGGCCAGCCCTCTGGCTTCCTACGTGACGGGGGCCGTGCTGGTGGCCGATGGCGGGGCATGGTTGACGTTCCCAAACGGTGTCAAAGGGCTGCCGGATTTCGCATCCTTCTCTGCTAAGCTCTAGGTGAGGTACTGCTCCCGCTTCTTGGGGTCATCTGTGTCCTTGGACGCTGGTCACTGCATGGGCAGGTCTCTGCGGGACCCACGGGGCTGGCGTCTCCTTTGTCCCCATCCTCCCGGCCCCTGCGCCAGCCTGCCCACACATGGGTGCTGCCCAGTGGGGCTGAGCAGGAGGCGGGCGCTGGTGTACTTGCTCTTCTGTAGCGGCCTCGGCCTCTGCCGGCATTTCTGGCAGGTGCTGGGTGGCCGAGGCAGCCGAGGTGTTTTAGGGGGAAGCCGTCCTCAGCCGGCTACTAAGTTCTGAAACTCCTGCAGGAATCTTCCGGCCGCTGCTTCCTGCCGCCTCACTCAGCCAGGTGGAGAGCACCAATCTGAACCAGCAATGCCTGCAGCCCAGCCCCTCCTCTGAACACTCAGCTATTACTGCGCTTTCCCTCCCCACGGCCCCAACTCCAGGGCAGGAGCAACTGGACAGTGGGCCTGGCCCGTGGAGCTGCCACGCAGGTGCCTGAGGGCCAGGTGCCACGCAGGTGTCTGAGGACCAGGTGCCACGCAGGTGGTGGGGGTACAGACAAGATGCTGGGATGTCCCCTGCCCCATGGTCAAGGGTGTCCTGCCTGCCTGGGTCCAGGGCCTGAGGGAGCCACATGGATCCCGAGACTTGTGTTCTCTTGGCTGAAAACACTGAGGTGCTCCCATCTGTGCGTGGCCCATGAGCTGGGATGGTCCTCCAGCTGCCCACAAGGTCCGCCCCTCTGTCTCTGCACCACCTGTTTGCATAAACACACTTTGCTACAATCTTGCTAGTGCGTTTTCTTAAAAGATAATCTATTTACTGTAAAAATAAATTGGACTTTGCAAAAGCTTTTAGAAGGAAAAGAAAGAGGATTAAAGAGAATTGCTGGTGATCCTATCGTTTAGGGGTTGTGTTTCCTTTCTGTCTTTTCTGTGATGTTTACTTATTATTAGTAGTAGTTTTGTTTTCTTTCTTTTTTTTTTTTTTTTGAGACGGCGTCTCGCTCTGTCGCCCAGGCTGGAGAGCAGTGGCGCAGTCTCGGCTCACTGCAAGCTCCGCCTCCCGGGTTCACGCCGTTCTCCTGCCGCAGCCTCCGGAGTAGCTGGGACTACAGGTGCCCACCACCACGCCTGGCTAATTTTTGTATTTTTAGTAGAGATGGGTTTTCACCTTGTTAGCCAGGATGGTCTCGATCTCCTGACCTCATGATCTGCCCGCTTTGGCCTCCCAAAGTGCTGGGATTACAGGCGTGAGCCACTGCACCTGGCTTTATTTTTTATTTTTAATTTTAATTTTTATTTTTTTATTTTTTGAGATGGAGTCTCGCTCTGTTGCCCAGGCTGGAGTGCAGTGGTGCGATCTTGGCTCACTGCAAGCTCCACCTCCCGGGTTCACGCTATTCTCCTGCCTCAGCCTCCCTAGTAGCTGGGACTACAGGCGCCCGCCCCCACGCCCGGCTAATTTTTTGTATTTTTAGTAGAGACGGGGTTTCACCATAATAGCCAGGATGGTCTCAATCTCCTGACCTTGTGATCCGCCTGCCTCGGCCTCCCAAAGTGCTGGGATTACAGGCGTGAGCCACCGCATCTGGCCTATTATTTTTTTTGAGAGTGTTTCGCTCTTGTTGCCCAGGCGGGAGTGCAGTGGTGCGATCTCAGCTCACTGCAACCTCCGCCTCCCAGGTTCAAGCGATTCTCCTGCCTCAGCTTCTCGAGTAGCTGGGATTACAGGCGCCCGCCACCATGACCGGCTAATTTTGTATTTTTAGTAGAGACGGGGTTTCACCATGTTAGCCCAGGCTGGTCTTGAACTCCCAACCTCAGGTGATCCGCCCGCCTCAGCCTCCCAAAGTGCTGGGATCACAGGCGTGAGCCACCACGCCAGGCCTTCTGTGACGTTTAGAACACTCTTCCTGCCTCATGCTGGAAGCCCCAGTCTACAGGCAGGGTGCTGCTCTCTTGGCAGAGGCCGCGTGCTCAGATGCAGCCGACACTGAATGTTGGGCCCAGGACCAGCCAGGCCACTGGTTGCCTCTCTCCTGGGTTTGGTCACTGCCACAGCTTTCCTCCTCTGTCGACATGGCCCCCAGCCCTGCTGCACGTGGGAGGTGCTGAGCAGCAGGAGGCTGGAGGGAGGTGTGTGGCTGTGCCCACCAGGGCCCCCATGGCTGCCCTCACAGGAGGGGAGCAGCTCCCATCAGGTATGCCCCTCAGCCCTGCGGTCCCCACTCTGTTCCTCCGAGCTCCCAGCTCACTGTCACACCAGACCCTGAATGTATTCAGGCTTTTACTTCCTGACAAGGAGGAAAAAAGATTTGTTTTTTGTTTTGTTTTGTTTTTGTCAGAGACAGGGTCTGGCTCTGTCAGCCAGGCTGGAGTGCAGTGGCACAAACATAACTCACTGCACCCTCCAAACTCCTGGGCTAAAGCGATCCTCCCACCTCAGCCTCCTGGGTACCTGGGACCACAGGCACACACCGCCATGCCTGGATGTTTTTTGTATTTTTTGTAGAGACAAGGTCTTGCCATGTTGCCCAGGCTGGTCTTGTTTTTTTTTTTTTTTTTTGAGATGGAGTCTCGCTCTGTCACCCAGGCTGGAGTGCAGTGGCGCCATCTCAGCTCACTGCACCCTCTGCCTCCTGGGTTCAAGTGATTCTCCTGCCTCAGCCTCCCAAGTAGCTGGGCCTACAGGTGCATGCCACCACACCCAGCTAATTTTTTGTATTTTACTAGAGACGAGGTTTCACAGTGTTGCCCAGGCTGGTCTCAAACTCCTGAGCTCAGGCAATCCACCTACCTCGTCCTCCTAAAGTGCTGGAATTACAGGCGTAAGCCACCACGCCCGGCTGCCCAGGCTGGTCTTGAACTCCTGGCCTCGTGTGATCTGCCCGCCTCAGGACTGCAGGCGTGAGCCACGGCGCCTGGCCGAGGTGGAGAGAAGATCTGTATATTGTAGTTGACTCCTGCCCCGTTTGGAAAATACAGTGTGGAGCTTATAACTGCTGAGTTGGCTTTTTAGGTGGCTGAGGGTTGGCCTCACCTTATGAATGTGGCCACTCCCACAGCTGCCGTGGCCTGGGAGAGGGGCTGCTTCCAGAAAATGTGTCAGCAGACCATCCATTGTGGGTTCCTGACTGGCACCGACCAGCATGGCCACGACCCACACACACCCTGTGTGCTAAGTGCTCAGCGAATTCCTTCCAGTGACTGCATGGGCTTCGGGACCCCCTCTGGTGCCAGGGAACCTGGGGAACCTCAAAGGCAGATCCTGGGTCCCTCCACAGGCTCTGAGGGAGGGATGTGGTGGAGCTCAGCGAGGAAGCTGGGATGCGGGGCCCTGGGCCGGGAGTATCTTCCCTCCTTCCCTTCCCTCCACCAGCCTCTGTGAGCCTGGGCCTGCCCTGCTGCCTCCAGATCCCAGCCCCAGCAGCCGCCTCCACAAGTCGTGGCCCAGCCACTGAAGAGAGGGACAGCATTCCTTCTGCTGGCCTCACATCCACATTCCTGAGGAAAGATGCAAGTTCACCTTTGGGGCTAGAAATCTGGCTCTTGTGCAATGAACTGTGGTAGGGCCGGGCATGGTGGCTCACGCCTGTAATCCCAGCAATTTGGGAGGCTGAGGCTGGCAAAACACTTGAGCCCAGGAGTTCAAGACCAGCCTGGGCAACAAAATGAGACTCCATCTTAATGAATAAATAAATAAATAAATAAATAAATAAATAAATAATGCCAGGCATGGTGGCTCACACCTGTAATCCCAGCATTTTGGGAGGCCAAGACGGGTGGATCAGGAGTTTGAGAGCAGCCTGGCCAATACAGTGAAACAATATAGTGAAACCCTCTCTCTACTAAAAATACAAAAATTAGCTGGGTGTGGTGGCACTCGCCTGTAATCCCAGCTACTTGGGAGGCTGAGGCGGGAGAATTGCTTGAACCTGGGAGGCGGAGCTTGCAGTGAGCTGAGATGGCAGGACTGCACTCCACCCTGGGTGACAGAGCAAGACTCCATCTCAAAAAAAAAAATTAAAAAAAGCCAGGCATGGTGGTTCAGGCCTGTAATCCTAGCACTTTGGAAGGTCAAGGTCAGTGGATCACTTGAGCCTAGAATTCAAGAGCAGCCTGGGCAACATAGCAAGACCTTGTCTCTATAAAAATAAATAAATAAAAACAAAAACCAGGCTGGGCATGGTGGCTCACGCCTGTAATCCCAATGCTTTGGGAGGCCAAGGCGGGCAGATCACCTGAGGTCAGGAATTTGAGACCAGCCTGGCCAACATGGCGAAAACCCCATCTCTACTAAAAAAATATAAAAATTAGCTGGGCATGGTGGCACGTGCCTGTAGTCCCAGCTACTCACGAGAATTGTTTGAACCCGGGAGGCAGAGGTTGTGGTGAACGGAGATTGCACCACTGCACTCCAGCCTGGGTGACAGAGCGAGACTGTGTCTCAAAATAAATAAATACAAAATAGTGCGTCGGCCAGGTGCGGTGGCTCATGCCTGTAATCCAAGCACTTTGGAAGGCCGAGGCGGGCAGATCACCCGAGGTCAGGAGTTCGAGACCAGCCTGACGGAGGCAGAGGTTGCGGTGAGCCAAGATCACGCCATTGTACTCTAGCCTGGGTGACAAGAGTGAAACTCCGTCTCAAAAAATAATAATAATTAAATAATTAAAAAATAAAGAATAAACAGTGGCTGAAGGTTGGCCTCACCTTATGAATGTGGCCACTCCAACAGACGCTGTGGGCTGGGAGAGAGGCTTCTTCTAGAAAATGTGTCAGCAGACCATCCATCACGGGTTTCTGGCTGGCACTGACCAGTGTTGCCATGACCCACACACACACCCTGCTACTAAGTTCTCAGTGAGTTCCCGAGTTCCTTCCAGTGACCGCATGGGTCTCAGGGCCGCTCTCTGGTGCCAGGGAACCTGGGAAACCTCAAAGGCAGCTGGGAGGTGCCAGACTGCACCTGACAGGTGTTTGTCCAAGCAAGAATGAGAAATATTCGCCAGAAATAAGAAGAATTACCTTTCAGCTCTTCGACCATCACGTGTAACTTGGAAAACTGTTACACAGGGAAGAGGAGAGTGATGAGAACTAGCCCTTCGCTGCTGCTTTGGAAAATGTAGAGGGGCTGAGAAACGAAGCTCTGCATAGCCTCTCCTGCTGGCTCCTCAGGGCCCCTCTGCAGGCTGCGGTTTGGCCTCAGGGAGCACTGAGGGTGCAGAACGGGGGCTCTGGAGGGCTCCAGGCCTGGTGGGAGCCAGGGCAGCCAGGCCATCCCAGGAAGACAGAGCAGGCACCGTAGCCTCATAGTGAGGTGTTAAAATAAGAAAACCATCAAAACTTGGGCTGAGTCAGGAGGAATTCAGTTGTGCCTTATACACTCATGTTCCATTTTTACTCTAAGACATGTACTTTACCAAATTTGAAGGTGAGAATACAAATTCTCCCCCACTGAATAAAATATCAGTAAACACAAGTGAGGCTCTGTGCTCTCAACTGCTGGAGGCCACAAGGGAGAGTGAGACCTGGTCCTAAAGGTGACTTCGCTCTAAGTTTATTTACTGAATATAAAATGTTAATGTAGTTTTCACAGTTGTCTGGCCAGGTGCAGTGGCTCATACCTATAATTCCAGCACTTTTGGAGGCCAAGGCGGTGGATCACTTGAGGTCAGGAGTTCGCGACCAGCCTGACCAACATGGTGAAACTCCATCTCTACTAACAATACAAAAATTAGTCGGGCGTGGTGGTGGACACCTGTAGTCCCAGCTACTCAGGAGGCTGAGGCAGGAGGATCGCTTGAACCCAGGAGGCGTAGGTTGCAGTGAGCCAAGATCGCGCCAGTGCACTCCAGCCTGGGCAACAGAGCGAGACTCCATCCCAAAAAAAAAAAAAAGTTGTCAGTTAAAAATAGTTTGCAGGCAGTTTTTGTTGATAGCTTTATGGATACACAGTTGACACAAGGCAAACCGCACATAGGTAGAGTGTGTAATTTGATGAGGCTGATGCGTCTACGTCGTGAAGCCCTCAGCACTATCCAGGCTGCACGTGTACCTGGTAATCCCTCCCTCTCACCCATCCCTACCCCTTATTTCCCAAGCGACTGCTGATTTGCTCTCTGTTGCTATTTATGTTTTTTATTTTTATTTTTTGAGATGGAGTCTCTGTCACCCAGGCTGGAGTGCCGTGGTGTGATCTCAGCTCACTGAAATCTCTGCCTCCCAGGTTGCCTCAGCCTCCCGAGTAGCTGGGACTACAGGCGTGTGCCACCACGCCAGGGTAATTTTTGTATTTTTAGTAGAGATGGGGTTTTGCCATGTTGGCCAGGCGGGTCTCATATTCCTGACTTCAAGTGATGTGCCTGCCTCGGCCTCCCGAAGTGCGGGGATTACAGCGGTGAGCCACCGCGCCTGCCTGGTGTTTGTATTTTCTAGGATTTTATGTAAGTGGAGTCATAAGGTACGCACTCTTTTTTGTCCGGCTTCTCTCACTGAACCTGATTGCTCCCAGAGTCACCTGTGATGTCGTGTGTGTCAGTAGTGAAATCCTCTTCAGGGTTGAGCCGGGCTCCGCGCCGGGTCCTCCTGGGGGTTGAGCCGTGTTCCGCAGTGTGGATGTGCCAGTTTGTTTATTCACCTGCTGATGAGTACTTGGGTTGCTTGCAGGTTTGGGCTATAACAAGTAAAGCTGCTATGAACATTTGTACAGAAGTGGGTGCATGGACACGTACTTTCATTTCTCCTAGGTACTAGGAGTGGAATGGCTGGGTCATATAAACAATGTATATTTAGTTTTATTTTTTTAATTTTTTTTTTTGAGATGGAGTCTCGCTCTGTCACCCAGGCTAGAGTGCAGTGGCGCGATCTTGGCTCACTGCAACCTCCGCCTCCTGGGTTCCAGTGATTCTCCTGCCTTAGCCTCCTGAGTAGCTGGGATTACAGGCGTGCACCACCACGCCCCGCTAAGTTTTGTATTTTTAGTAGAGACGGGGTTTCACCACTTTGGTCAGGCCGGTCTCAAACTCCTGACCTCGTGATCCACCTGCCTCAGCCTCCCAAGGTGCTGGGATTACAGGCGTGAGCCACCGCGCCCGGCCTGTATATTTAGTTATGTAAGGTATTTGCCTTATTATTCAGCCTTAAAAAAAAGGAGACATTGAGGCTAGGCACGGTGGCTCACACCTGTAATCCCAGCTGTTTGAGAGGCCAAGACGGGGCGGATCACCTGAGGTCAGGAGTTCGAGACCAGCCTGACCAATATGATGAAACCCTGTCTCTACTAAAAATACAAAAATTAGCTGGGCGTGGTAGCAGGTGCCTGTAATCCCAGCTACTCGGGAGGCTGAGACAGGAGAATCTCTTGAACCCAGGAGGCGGAGGTTTCGGTGAGCCGGGATCACACCATTGCATTCCAGCCCGGGAAACGAGCGAAACTGCCATTTGTGACAACGTGGATGAACCTGGAGGACATTATACTAAGTTTTTTTTTGAGACAGAGTCTTGCTCTGTTGCCCAGGCTGGAGTGCAGTAGCGCCACCTTGGCTCACTGCAACCTCTGCCTTCCAGGTTCAAGTGATTCTCCTGCCTCAGCCTCCCAAGTAGCTGGGACTACAGGCACCCACCACCACACCTGGCTAATTTTTTCTATTTTTAGTAGAGACAGGGTTTCGCTGTGTTAGCCAGGATGGTCTTGATCTCCTGACCTCATGATCCACCCGCCTCGGCCTCCCAAAGTGCTAGGATTACAGGTGTGAGCCACAGCGCCCAGCTGCACCCAGCTAATTTTTGTAGTTTTAGTAGAGATGGGGTTTCACCATATTGGCCAGGCTGGTCTTGATCTCCTGACCTCGTGATCCACCCACCTTGGCCTCCCAAAGTGCTGGGATTACAGGCGTGAGCCACCGCACCCGGCCTATGCTAAGTTTTTAAACGTTTTCTTACTTTAGAGAGGGAGTTTTGCCCCGTTGCCCAGGCTGGAGTGCAGGGCTATTCACAGGCACAATCACAGCTCACTACAGCTTCAAATTACTGGACTCCAGCATTATGCTAAGTGAAATAAGCCAGTCAGAGAAAGAAGACTTCATGGTCTCATTTATATGTGGAATCCAGAAAAACCTCTGGGTCTTAAGAGCTCCTCCCACCTCAGTCTCTTGAGTAGCCGGGACTACAGGTGTGCACCACCACACCTGGCTAATGTTTTTTTGTTTGTTTTTTGAACTCCTGGGCTTAAGTGATCCTCCTGCCTCAGCCTCCCAAAGTGCTGGGATTACAGGCATGACCCACTGTGCCCAGTGGAAATGAATGTTATAGATATAGTCAAAGTTGTACTTCACCCTTTCTCTTCTGTCTGTCCTCTTGAATATAATTCTTTTTTCTTTCTTTCTTTTTTTTTTTTTTTTTGAGACAGAGTCTCGCTCTGTTACCCAGGCTGGAGTGCAATGGTGTGATCTCAGCTCACTGCAACCTCCGTCTCCGGGGTTCTAGCAATTCTCCTGCCTCAGCCTCCCCAGTAGCTGGGATTACAGGCATGCGCCACCATGCCTGGCTAATTTTTTGTATTTTTGTAGAGACAGGTTTCAGTATTTTGGCCAGGCTGGTCTTGAACTCCTGACCTCAAGTGATCCACCCCATTGGCCTCCCAAAGTTGGGATTACAGGTGTGAGCCACCGCACACGGCCTCAATGTAATTCTCAAGTATGTTTAGGTATTTTTTACTACAAACGAAAGCATTTGAAAACAAGATAGGTCATTGATCATGTGTTTTTAAACTTAACAAAAATTGGCTAGGCACGTTGGCTCACGCCTGTAATCCTAGCACTTTGGGAAGCCAAGGCGGGCAGATCACCTGAGGTCAGGAGTTCCAGATCAGCCTGGCCGAGATGGTGCAACCCCGTCTCTACGAAAAATACAAAAATTAGCTGGGTGTGGTGGCGGGCACCTGTAATCCCAGCTACTCGGGAGGCTGAGGCAGGAGAATCGCTTGAACCCAGGAGATGGAGGCTGCCGTGAGCTGAGACCGTGCCACTGCACTCCGGCCTGGGCAACAAGAACAGAATTCTGTCTAAAAAAATAAATGAAAAATGGTATTACATAGCATGTACTATCAATTGTGCAGATGTGGTGCACTCACTTAAACTGCTACACTTCACAACAGACAACAGGCTCCACTGAAGCCGTTCGGCTCTTCTTCCAGAGAAGTACAAATCCCCGAAGGAAACAAGGTCTTTCCATCTCCCTGCGGACATGTGCAGTTTCTCCGGCAGGTACTGGAAGGCGGATCCCACACTGGAGTATTCCGACCTTCAGCTGCACGACTGGTGCCAAATCCCCACTCCCTGGTGTCCCCAGACTTACTCTGATTGGTGTCAAGGGCTACACTCACACATTTTCCTGGTGACCAGTGAAGATGAGCATCTTTTTCATGTGTTTACCGGCCACCTGAATTTCCTCTTCTGGAGCTGCTTATTCATATTCTTTCCTCGTTTTTCTATCGGGTTGCTGTTCGTTTACTGTTTTTTGAGAAATTCTTTTGTGTATTCTAGAAATGAATATTTTGTCCATTAAATCCATTCTAACTCTCTCTTCCCAGTTGCTACCCCAAAATTTATATATTGGAGTCCTAACGCCAACGGGATGGTATTTGGAGATGAGGTCTTTGGGAGGTATAACTTAGGGTTAGGGCCGGGCGCGGTGGCTCACGCCTGTAATCCCAGCACTTTGGGATGCCGAGGCGGGTGGATCATGAGCTCAGGAGATCGAGACCATCCTGGTTAACACGGTGAAACCCCGGCTCTAGTAAAAATACAAAACAATTAGCCAGGCATGGTGGCGGGTGCCTGTGGTCCCAGCTACTGGGGAGGCTGAGGCAGGAGAATGGCATGAATCCGGGAGGCAGAGATTGCAGTGAGCTGAGATGGCGCCATTGCACTTCAGCCTGGACGACAGAGCAAGACTCCGTCTCAAAAAAAAATAATAATAATAATAATTAGGGTTAGATACGGTCAGCAAGGTGGGGCCCTCACGATGGGAACAGTGCCCTTATTAGAAGAGACAGTCTTTTTTTTTCTTTTTTCTTTTTTTGAGACGGAGTTTCACTCTTGCTGCCCAGGCTGGAGTGCCATGGCACAATCTCGATTCACTGCAACCTCCGCCTCCCAGGTTCTAGTGATTCTCCTGCCTCAGCCTCCCAAGTAGCTGGGATTACAGGCATGCACCACCATGCCTGGCTAATTTTTTGTATTTTTAGTAGAGATGGGGTTTCACCATGGCAAGCCTGGTCTTGAACTCCTGACCTCAGGTAATCCACCCGCATCGGTCTCCCAGAGTGCTGGGATTACAGGCGTGAGGCACCGTGCCCAGCCTTATTTTTATTTTATTGTTTTCCTTGAGATGGAGTTTCCCTCTTGTTGCCCAGGCTGGAGTGCAATGGTGGGATCTTGGCTCACTGCAACCTCCACCTCCCGGGTTCAAGTATTCTCCTGCCTCAGCCTCCCAGGTAGCTGGGATTACAGGACACGCCACCACGCTCAGCTAGTTTTTGTATTTTTAGTAGAGACAGGGTTTTACCATGTTGGCCAGGCTAGTCTCGAACTCCTGACCTCAGGTTATCCACCCGCCTTGGCCTCCTAAAGTGTTGGGATTACAGGCGTGAGCCATTACGCCCGCCTTTTTTTTTTTTTTGAGATAGTCTCGCTCTGTTGCCCAGGCTGGAGTGTAGTGGCTGGATCTCAGCTCATTGCAACCTCTGCCTCCCAGGCTCAAGTGATTACCCTGTTCAGCCTCCTGAGTAGCTGGGATTACACGCACCCGCCACCGCCCCCGGATAATTTTTTTTCTTTTTTTTTGAGACAGAGTCTCACTCCATCACCCAGGCTGCAGTACAGTGGTGTGATCTTGACTCACTGCAACCTCCACCTCCCGGGTTCAAGCAATTCTTTGCCTCAGCCTCCTGAGTAGCTGGGATTACAGGTGCCCGCCACCACGGCCGGCTAATATATACATATATTTTTTAGGTGGAGTCTCGCTCTGTCGCCAGGCTGGAGTGCAGTGGTGCGATCTTCGCTCACTGCAACCTCTGCCTCCCAGGTTCAAGCGATTCTCCTCCCTCAGGCTCCCGAGTAGCTGGGACTACAGGTGGGTGCCACCACACCCGGCTAATTTTTGTATTTTTAGTAGAGACAGGGTTTCACCATGTTTGCCAGGATGTTTTCGATCTCTTGACCTTGTGATCCGCCCACCTTGCCTCCCAAAGTGCTGGGATTATAGGCTGAGCAACCGCGCCCGGCCTAAATTTTCTATTTTTTAGTAGATACGGGGTTTCACCATCTTGGCCAGGCTGGTCTTGAACTCCTGACCTCGTGATCCACCCGCCTCGGCCTCCCAAAGTGCTGGAATTACAGGCATGAGCTCCCACGCCCAGCCCAAAAGAGACAATCTTTCTCCAACATGTGAGGACAGAGTGAGAAGATGGAGGCTATGCTTTGAATGTTTATACCCTCCAAAACGCATGTTGAGGCCAAGTGTGGTGACTCATGCCAATAATCCCAGCACTTTGGGAGGCCGAGGTGGGCGGATCACTTGAGGTCAGGAGTTTGAGACCAGCTTGACCAACATGGTGAAACCCCGGTCTCTACTAAAAATACAAAAAATTAGCCGGCCTTGGTGGCATACGCCTGTAATCCCAGCTACTCAGGAGGCTGAGGTAGGGGAATCACTTGAACCCGGGAGGCGGAGGTTGCAGTGACCAGAGATCGCGCCATTGCACTCCAGCCTGGGCGACAGAGTGAGACTCCATATCAAAAAAAAAAAAAAGATAATAAGGTGCTGCAGATCTGTGGTCTCAGCTACTGGAGAGGCTGAGGTGGGAGGATCTCTCTTCTATTTTTATTTTTTATTTTGGAGACGGAGTCTTGCTCTATCATCCAGGCTGGAGTGCAATGGTGCAATCTTGGCTCGCTGCAAGCTCTGCCTCCCGGGTTCACGCCTTTCTCCTGCCTCAGCCTCCCAAATAGCTGGGACTACAGGTGCCTGCCACCACACCTGGCTAATTTTTGTTTTTTTGTATTTTTAGTAGAGACGGGGTTTCACCGTGTTAGCCAGGATGGTCTCCATTTTCTGACCTCGTGATCCGCCCGCCTCAGCCTCCCACAGTCCTGGGATTACAGGCATGAGCTACCACACCTGGCCTAAGGTGGGAGGATCTCTTGAGCCTAGGAGGTTGAGGCTGCCGTGAGCTATGGTCGCACCACTGCACTGCAGCCTGGGCAACAGAGCAAAACCCTGTCTCGGGGAAAAAAAAGAAAAGAAAAGAAAAGAAGGAACTGCTACAGCCCACAGCCTACAAAGGGGACACAGATAGTAGCTCTGAACAGCAGACGGATAGACGGGAACTTGTCCCTTTAGTCTTTCATGAACAGCCTCTAACTGGTCCAGGCAGGGAGGTGCAGGCTTCCAGGCTGTGGTTCCATGGAGGACACCAGCCGGGCACGCAATGGACGTTTTCCAGCCCTAGCACAGACAGAGCGTGCGGGCCCCTGCTCTCAGAAAGCCAGCCTTCTGCCTCTGGCAGCGCCGGCACATAAAAGCAGAGGGAGCCTGCTGTCTCTGCCTCGCCCACACTAACACCCCTATTTAGAAAGGTTGACACATCACTATCACTGCTTCTGAAAATTTTATCCGGCCGAAGGCATCAGCCCAAATTTGAATTCTTGCCAAAGCTGCTGGTGATTTCGTTCTTTGAATGCAGTATCTTCCTCATGAACACGTACAGCTCTTACAAGAAAATGAGAATACGGTTTGGGGAGGAGGATCCCTCACATTCCTTTTCCTAATGCCAGCCTCGCGAAGTCTGGTCCCATGTACCCTGGGATTCTGCCACGGAAGATGACTCACTTAATTAACACGCTGCTCCTGACCGTACACTTGGAAGCAGAGGTTCCGTTCCTTTGGTTCTTGCCAAAGCTGCTTACGAAACCATATCTTGTGTTGGTGCCCATGGTGTGTAAAAATACAAGTTCATCATTTCCCTGATACAAATTATGACAGGCTAAATTTAGTGCCTCACCTGTCCTAACTAGCTTTCCCACCATCATGCCTGCCGCCGGGCTGTGGTCCTTTCTGAGGTCCCGTGTCCCTCTGAGGACAGGGACACCCAGACACAGAGGTCAGTTGTCAGACGCGGCCACGGTGCTCGGGAGGCTGGCTGCAGACGGGCGATTCACCCTGGGTGTCTTCTTGAGTCTTATTTTTTGTAGAGACGAGGTCTCGCTTTGGTGCTCAGGCTGGTCTCAATCTCCTGGGCGCAAGCGATCCTCCCGCTTGGGCGTGGGCCAGCGCGCCCGTCCCAACGCTGGGAGTCCCGGAGATCTTGGTCACAGGCTTAAGGGAAAGGCCTAGCGCGTGGCCGCGCGTGCCTCTGGTTTCAAGGGACATGGACTGCGTGTCTGGGGCCCCTCCGCACTCCGTGTCAGACCCTGCGTCCCCCGGGTCCGCGCGGGACCCGGGCAGGGCGTCGCCCTCTGCGGCGTCTGCGCCCCGCGAACCCTGGGGCACCTGCAACCCCTGGGCCGCGGAGCCAGGCGTGCGCCGCCTCCTGGTCTCATCAACGTGAGAACGCTTTACCCCCGAAGAGCTCAGCTCCTAGGGGGCTATGTCCCTTTGCGTCTCTCGCTCGCCAGGCGGTGCCGTTTACTCGACCGCACCATGCGTGGGTAGCGGTCGCGCCCGCTGGTAGCTGTGCGGCGGGAACACGTTCTAAGTAAGGCCTGACTCCGCGCGCCTCTTGCCAGGGACGTCACGTCACGCCTCCACTCGCAGCCTCGGAGCACCCCCGCGTCCCGCGCCCGAAGCTCGGGACCCCCGCTCTGGCGAAACGAGGAATATGACATACAGCAAAACACCCCTTCGCGGCCGCTGCACTGCCGCGACACACCCGGCGCCTGCCTCTACAGCAAGCCGGCGAGGGGCTGGGACCCCGCCGGGACGTGCTGACGTCAGGCCCGACGGGGGGCGGGGCCTGGGCGGCGGCGGCGTTAGTTCTCCGGGTACCTCAGGCGCCTCAGCCTCCTTAGTCTCCTCATCCTGCTTCACAGGCTCCGCGGCCTCCGGCCTCCTCGGCCCCCGTCCCCCGGCCTCCTCGGCCCCCGTCCCCCGCCATCCGCCGCCCGGATCCTCGCCGCCCTCCCTAGGCCGCCCCGCCGCCATGGGCCTGCGCCCGCCGCGCCGCCGGGCCGAGGGCAGCTGAGGCGCGGTGCGAAGATGGGCGAGGACAGAGCAGGGCCCGAGCGCCAGCCCCAGCAGCCCGGGCGCCCCGCGCGCGCCCGCCCGCGCCGCCGAGGGGATGCCCGCGCCCGCCGCCGCGCCCTGAGCGCCTTTGTCTGCCGCCCGCGCCCTTCCGCACCACTAGCCTCTCGGGAGCATGGCGTCGGCCCCGCCGGCCTCGCCCCCGGGCTCGGAGCCGCCGGGGCCCGACCCGGAGCCGGGCGGGCCGGACGGGCCGGGGGCGGCACAACTGGCTCCGGGCCCTGCGGAGCTACGCCTCGGAGCGCCCGTCGGCGGCCCCGACCCGCAGTCCCCGGGCCTGGATGAGCCTGCGCCCGGGGCCGCTGCAGATGGCGGGGCGCGTTGGAGCGCCGGGCCGGCCCCGGGGCTGGAGGGAGGCCCGCGAGACCCCGGGCCGTCCGCCCCGCCGCCGCGCTCCGGCCCGCGGGGGCAGCTTGCGAGCCCCGACGCCCCGGGCCCAGGGCCGCGCTCCGAAGCGCCGCTTCCAGAACTCGACCCGTTGTTCTCCTGGACTGAGGAGCCCGAGGAGTGTGGCCCCGCGAGCTGCCCGGAGA
The DNA here is from genome assembly GCF_000001405.40 of Homo sapiens. Taxonomy (NCBI): domain Eukaryota; kingdom Metazoa; phylum Chordata; class Mammalia; order Primates; family Hominidae; genus Homo; species Homo sapiens. Next base: position 25,571 of record NT_187610.1, read on the forward strand.
GCGCGCCTTTCCGCTTGCAGGGGTCCAGCAGCAGCCACCGAGCGCGGGGCGAGGTCGACGTCTTCTCTCCCTTCCCCGCGCCCACGGCGGGCGAGCTGGCGCTGGAGCAAGGTCCCGGGTCCCCGCCGCAGCCCTCGGACCTCAGCCAGACCCACCCCCTTCCGAGCGAGCCCGTGGGGAGTCAGGAGGACGGCCCCCGCCTCCGAGCCGTGTTCGATGCCCTGGACGGGGATGGGGACGGTTTCGTCCGCATCGAGGACTTCATCCAGTTTGCTACGGTCTACGGGGCAGAGCAGGTACGGAGCGGCCCGGGCCGGGGCGTGGGAACTGGGCAGGTGCGCGCTGGCCGGCGGGGTTGATGTGGGACCGGTCGACGCTGCCCCTGGAGTCGGGAAAGGCACTGTCAAGACCTGACGGTCCTGCTTTTTCTGCTTATTCACCACTTCGGCCCTGGATTTCTGGTTGAATTGCGCTGGAGTCCCTCTTCCCTTCTTAAAAGGAGGTTCTATTCTGGGGAGTCAGTTTCTTCCCCTCCCCCCAGCGCCTCGTCAGCTGGATCTTACCGAGGTCAGCTCCTCGCCTGGGGACACCCCCCCAGGGGGCCTGATCGCCACCCCCCCAGGGTGCCTGATCGACGTGCCCCTGAATGAAGAAGTTCCCCGCGATTCCCCCACCCGAGGGCCCAGATACTGCTCGGCTGAATTCACCCAAGTTCTAGCCGCAGAGGCCAGGCTGCCCAGACGCCTTGAGATCCTACTGATAGACACCTATTTTGAGTACAATTACTTTACTGTGTGTGGTTGACATCTTTTCTACTTAGATTTCATCTTTTATTTGGGAGACAGTCAATGCTTGTAGAGAGTCCTGGAATTAAGAATTTTTACTTTGGTGCCTTTGGGGAGGAAGGCAATGAGCCTCGGAGCTTGTTGGCAAATGCAGAAGTCTAGCAGAACTCCGTTAGGGCCACGTCCACTCTCGTAGGAGAGGTGAAATGCGTGGACAGGCACTACGCACAGTACAGTGTGGAAGGGGTCCACGCGGTCCTCAGGGCACCTGCTCCTGGGGGAAAGGTGGGCCCCAAGATGCAGTTGTTCCTGTCTACCTCAGCACTTAATAAAGTTTAAGTGGAGATAACAGCAGGGCCGTGTGTGTTCTGCCAATAACCCGGTGGACATCAAATAATACCAGTGCTCACTTTTAAATATTTTACTTAGCAGGAAATCCCTAAGGTGCATCTGTCAATTTTTTGTATTTTGACTTCTCACACATGCAGACATCTGGTAAGTGGGTGTTCAAGTACATATGCATGTTTAAGCCAAGAGGTCTGTAAGAAAAGAGGTAAAATTGGCACACTGCTATTTAGGGTGTCAGTCATAACATTAAGAACCTTGATGGTCGGGCGCGGTGGCTCATGCCTGTAATCCCAGCACTTTAGGAGGCCGAGGCGGGCGGATCACGAGGTCAGGAGATTGAGACCATCCTGGCTAATATGGTGAAACCCCGTCTCCACTAAAAAATACAAAAAAATTAGTCGGGCGTGGTGGCGGGCACCTGTACTCCTAGCTACTCGGGAGGCTGAGGCAGGAGAATGGCGTGAACCCGGGAGGCGGAGCTTGCAGTGAGCGGAGATCGCGCCACTGCACTCCAGCCTGGGCGACAGAGCGAGACTTCGTCTCAAAAAAAAAAAACAGCAACAAAACAAAAAACACAGGGTCCTGATAAATCAGGGTTCCTTGCTGAGTTCACATTAAGAAGATGTGCAGACAGGTGCGTGCGGGGCAGCCTGCAATGCTCGCAAGCTTAGCTCCGGTTGGGATATTGTCAGGGTAGTTTTCCACCTACACTAATGGGCAGTGAAATATGTGACTGATACTTTCCTGTATGGTCAGCGTGGATGGTGGTTGCTGGTCCAGGTGTTTTGCTGCGTTTCCTTCTTGCCCCTGGGCTGGAGAGCACCTTGAGCTCCCTTGGTTGCTGTTGGCTACTGCGCTGTCTCTTCTCCCAAACATACTCTTGCTTCAGTACAGCAAAGAAGTTAGGAGAGTACCACATTTGCTCCTTGTTACCATAACCCAACTCTTGATAGAGAACTTCTGTGAGGCTCAGGATGTTTCCACTGGATCATACCACAGTTCTCTGAGATAGTAGGTAAGCAGGATTCATCCCCACTTTACAGGTAAGAAACTGGAAACCCAGAAAGGTCAGATAGCTCTCCCAAGGTCTCACAGGAGTAGAACTAGGTCTTTTGGCCCTTAGACCTTAGATGCCTCTTCTTAGATGTGGTGGCTCACAATATCCCTATTGTGATAATATCTTACTGACTTTCATACAATTCTTTTTATTTGAGAAACATCTTTTGTCATAACCTCCCTTAATGATCACAATGGGAAAAACTTTGTGTTGCTATTTGGGGCTGAGCTTTCTTGTCATCACAAAGTAGAAATGAGACAAAATTCTTCACTCTGAATTCCAAGAGCTCTTGATGAAATTCGAAGGTTGGGGGCAAGGGCTGGATGACTTGGGATTTGGTGAGGATGGGGAAGTGGAAGGGATCTCCTGTGGTATTACTCCTTGTCTGTTCTTCTAGACGGCTTAGGAAGAAGCAATGTTGGGTGTGATCTGAGTGCCTGGACTTGGGCCGGCTTCCTGGGATGGAGGAGAGCTCTTGATTTCTTAAAGCTAAGTTACTGTTTGGCAACAGATAATTTACAGGGTAAAGAAAGGTTGATTTTCATGTTATGTAACCCTGTAGCCATTGCTCAGTTTTAGCAGTCTTGGTTCATCTGTAAACTCACCACTCACTACCCCCAGATGATTTTTGAAGTGGGTTCCTGACATTATATCATTTCTTCCATAAATGCTTCAGTATATATTTCCAAAAGATACCGATTCTTTTAAAGACATTAATGATTTTTTTAAAAACGCTAGGGAACAGTTCAGATTAACTGGATAACAGCAATAAAGGTCATAAGTTTTTGTACTTTCTACCTTGAGATTTCAAAATATTGAGCACATGAGAGACTCTTAGTCCAGTCACATTACTGTCCTTGATGATAACAACTAGATTATCTTAATTTTTTTTTTTTTTTGAGATGGAGTCTCGCCTGCTCTGTCGCCCAGGCTGGAGTGCAATGGTGTGATCTCGGCTCACTGCAACCTCTGCCTCCCGGGTTCAAGCGATTCTCCTGCTTCAGCCTCCCGAGTAGCTGGGATTACCGGTGCCCGTCACCACACCTGGCTATTTTTTGTATTTTTAGTAGAGACGGTTTTGCCATGTTGGCCAGGCTGGTCTTGAACTCTTGACCTCAGGTGATCCACCCGCCTCGGCCTCCCAAAGTGCTGGGATTACAGGCATGAGCCACTGTGCCCGGCCAAGTATCTTAATTTTTATCAAATTTTCAGAGGTAGCATATTGAGTATCTTCTATGTAATCTGTTTATGAAGGTAGCATTTTAAATTATTTAAATGGATTATCTGAATTTTTAATAGAAGCAGCTCCTGTTTATAATACAGATGGCTTTTGTGTCCCTGTTTCTTTAGCAATGTCATGGTGTGTTTGGATCTAATTACGTCATCTGGTGATAGATCAGGTGTAGTGTAATATAACACAGTGTTGTGTTAGCAGAAATCAGCACATGAAAGGAGCAAGTGGAGCTTTCTGGTTATATTTTTTTGAAACAGGAATTTATAGTCAGATGTGTCCAGGAATTAGGTATGAAGTTGGAATAGGTGATTTTTAAGGCTTCAACCATCTCTGGAGATTGACATGACCCCTTCATACTGAGAGGACTGATGCTTTTGTATTTACTGCCACCTATCATGAAGCAGAGATTGTAAAATAAATTCTAAGAGTGTTGTGAGAAAGGATTACTTTAATTTTGTTTTGTTTTTAAAGATTATAACTGTAATTTACATGTTATTTTTACAGTCACTTAAGCAGTTGCGTTTTAATAGCCACTGATTCTTTTCAGAGAATGTCCTTCAGTAACCTTGGTAGGCATTGTCTGTCTTCAGTACTTGCAGAAATAGGCTGCCGAAGGAAGTGTCGATGCTCAGATCTCCCTACGTTTTTTTATTCCTGCACCGCTAATGGTGGCAGTAGGAAGTTCCTAGGGACATTTGACTGCACCTTTTTGTTCGTTTGTTTTGAGACAGGATCTCACTCTGTCACCCAGTCTGAAGTGCAGTGGCAAGATCTCAGCTCACTGCAACCTCCACCTCCTGGGCTCAAGCAGTCCTCTCATCTTAGCCTCCTGAGTAGCTGGGACTATAGGCAGGCATGACCATGCTCCGCTAATTTAAAAAAATTGGCTGGGTGCAGTGGCTCACGCCTGTAATCCCAGCATTTTGGGAGGCTGAGGCGGGCAGATCATGAGGTCAGGAGACGGTGAAACCCCGTCTCTACTAAAAATACAAACATTTTTAAAAATTATTTTTGTAGAGATGAAGTATAGTATAGTGATACTGCCCAGGCATATTATTGAACTCCCAGGCTCAAGCGACCGTCCTCGGGCCTCAGCCTCTCAAAGTTCTGGGATTGCAGGCATGAGCCGTAGCGCCCAGCCTGGCATCGCCTTTTATTTGCCCTGTATCATTTCCAGTCTCTTAGCCTTGAATTTGAGTGAAAGTGTGTGTGAATGAGAGTGAGCATGTGTGTGTGTGAGCAGTTACATATGTGAGCTGGTGTGTGTGTGTGTAATATGTGTGTGCGGTGAGATGTGTGGGAGCATGTGTCTGCAGGATCAGGGATGTGTGTATGTGGGAGTGGGATATTTGTGTGTAAGTGGCATATTATGTATGTGTGTGAGCAGGTGAGTGTATGTATTCTGGGTCTACATGCTGACTGAATTGCTGAAAGGCAAATGAAGCTTGGGTTGTATAAAACAGAAAATGACCAATAATCCCACTATCCTGAGAAAAATAACATTCCCATTATTTTACTACATTTCTTTTCAGACTTTTTTTTTTTTTTTGAAATAGAGTCTTGCTCTCTTGCCCATGCTGGAGTGCAGTGGCACAATCTCAGTTCACTGCAACCTCCACCACGTGGGTTCAAGCGATTGTCTTGCCTGAGTCTCCTGAGTAGCTTGGACTACAGGCGTGCAACGCCTGGCTAATTTTTATATTTTTAGTAGAGACGGGGTTTCGCCGTGTTGACTAGGCTGGTCTCGAACACCAGACCTCAAGTGATCCACCTGCCTCAGCCTCCCAAAGTGTTGGGATTACAGATGTGAGCCACCGCACCTGGCCCAGACCTTTTTTAACACAGACATAGACACACAGGTGACTGTCTATAAAAGTACACAATTGAGATCATATTGGGGTAGAAGCTAAATTTTTTTTTTTTTTTGAGATGGAGTCTCGCTCTGTCACCCAGGCTGGAGTGCAGTGGCGTGATCTTGGCTCGCTGCAAGCTCCGCCTCCCGGGTTTATGCCATTCTCCTGCCTCAGCCTCCTGAGTAGCTGGGACTACAGGCGCCCGCCACCCCTCCCGGCTAATTTTTTTGTATTTTTATTAGAGATGAGGTTTCACCGTGTTAGCCAGTATGGTCTTGATCTCCTGACCGCATGATCCGCCCACCTCGGCCTCCCAAAGTGCTGGGATGATAGGCATGAGCTATGGCGCCCAGTGAAGCTAAATTATTTTTATAGATGTTCATTGTTTTAAAAGAAACTGGCCTGGCGCGGTAACTCACACCTGTCATCCCAACACTTTGGGAGGCCAAGGCGGGTGGATCATCTGAGATCAGGAGACCAGCCTGGCCAACATGGTGAAACCCCATCTCTACTAAAAATACAAAAATTAGCTGGGTGTGGTGGTAGGCGCCTATAATCCCAGGTACTTCAGAGGTCGAGGCAGGAGAATCGCTTGAACCTGGGAGGCAGAGGTTGCAGTGAGCTGAGATCTTGCCATTGCACTCCAGCCTGGACGACAAGGGTGAAACTGTCTCGAAAAACTAAAAAGAAACTAAAACTAGTAGGTAAAATACTAGTAGATAAAATAAGAAAAATAAGGAGCCCTTGTAATCCCCCCATCCATTAATATCATTAAGAGATAATTAAATATTTAATATGTAAATTAAAATGTATGTAATACATACTTGATTATAGATAAATGTTATAATTTGCATGCATGTTGCTTTGAATCTGCTTTTTGACCTGGTTTTTTTTTTTTTTTTGTGTGTGTGTGTGTGTGACAGGGTCTCGCTCTGTGGCCCAGGCTGGAGTTCAGTGGTACGATCTCGGCTCAGTGCAGTCTCTGCCTCCCGGGTTCAAGCAATTCTCCTGCCTCAGACTCCCTCAGCCACTTAGCTGGGATTACAGGCGCCTGCCACCACTCCGGCTAAATTTTTGTATTTTTAATAGAGATGGGGTTTTGTCACGTTGGCCAGGCTGGTCTCAAACTCTTGACCTCGTGATCCACCCGCCTTGGCCTCCCAAAGTGCTGGGATTACAGGCATGAGCCATTGCCCCTAGCCTGAGCTGTTTCTTTTTAATTGATAGAAATATTTGTACATATTCATGGGATGGGTACATGTGGTATTTTGTTACAGGCATACACTGTAATGATCAAGTTGGGGTGTCTGTCACCTCCATATTTATCTTTTTTTTTTTTTTTTTTTTTTTGAGACATAGTCTCTGTCTCTTGCCCAGGCTGGAGTGCAGTGGCGCGATCTCAGCTCGCTGCAAGCTCTGCCTCCCGGGTTGATGCCATTCTCCTGCCTCAGCCTCCTGATAGCTGGGATTACAGGTACATGCCAGCATGCCCAGCTAATTTTTGTATTTTTACTAGAGACAGGGTTTCACCATGTTGGCCAGGCTGGTCTCGAACTCCTGACCTGGTGATCCGCCCACCTGGGCCTCCCAAAGTACTGGGATTACAGGCGTGAGCCACCGCTCATTGCATATTTCTAACCATTAACCGTGCTCTTTACCCTCCTGATGCTTCCCAGCCTCTGATATCAATCGCTCTATTCTCTACCTCCATTAGATCCACTTTTCTAGCTCCCACATAAGAGTAAAAACGTGATATTTGTCTTTCTCTGCCTGTCTTACTTGACTTCACATAATGACCTCCATTTCCTTCCACGTTGCTGCAAATGACATGATTTCATTTTTTTACGTGGCCAAATAGTACTCCAGGCCGGATGCGGTGGCTCACGCCTGTAATCTCAGCACTTTGGAAGGCCAAGGCGGGCGGATCACGAGGTCAGGAGATCGAGACCATCCTAGCTAACACGGTGAAACCCTGTCTCTACTAAAAATACAAAAAAAAAAAAAATTAGCTGGGTGTGGTTGCGGGCGCCTGTAGACCCACCTACTTGGGAGGCTGAGGCAGGAGAATGGCGTGAACCTGGGAGGTGGAGCTTGCAGTGAGCCGAGATCGTGCCACTGCACTCCAGTCTGGGTGACAGAGCGAGACTCTGTCTCAAAAAAAAAAAAAAAAAGTACTCCATTGTGTATCTATATTACATTTTCTTTATCCATTCAACTGTTGATGGACACTTAGATTGATTCCATATCTTTGCTATTGAGAACAGTGCTGCAGTAAACATGGGGTGCAGGCATCCCTGTGGTATATGGATTTCCTTTCCTTTGGATAAATCTCAGTAGTGGGATTGCTGGATTGTATAGTAGTTGACCTAAATTTTTTGAAATTGAAGGTCTCTGATATCAGATGTATATTTATTTATTTAAAAATTTCTTTATTTTTTGAGACAGAGTTCACTATTGTTGGCTAGGCTGGAGTGCAATGGCACGATTTTAGGTCACTGCAACCTTCGCCTCCTGGGTTCAAGCAATTCTCCTGCCTCAGCCTCCTTAGTAGCTGGGATTACAAGCATGTGCCACCATGCTCGGCTAATTTTTTGTATTTTTAGTAGAGGCGGGGTTTCGCCATGTTAGCCCAGGCTGGTCTCGCGCTCCTGACCTCAAGTGATCTGCGTGCCGCAGCCTCCCAAAGTGCTGGGATTACAAGCGTGAGCCACTGCACCCTGCCAGATGTATACTTTATTTTTTTGATATAGAGTCTCACTCTGTTGCCCAGGCTGGAGTGCAGTGGTGCAATCACTGGTCACTGCAGCCTTGACCTCCCAGGCTCAGGTGGTCCTCCCATCTCAGCCTCCCAGGTAGCTGGGACTACAGGTACGTGTTACCACACCTGCCTAATTTTTCTATTTTTTATAGAGACAGGGTTTTGCCATGTTGATCTCCAACTCCTGGGCTCAAGTGATCTTCCCACCTTGGCCTCCCAAAGTGCTAGGATTACAAGCATGAGCCACTGGCCTGGCAGATGTATACTTTAATGGAAACCTAAGGTTTACTTGTCCCCAGGAAGATTCAGAATTGTTAAGGATGGCCGGACGCAGTGGCTCACACCTGTAATCCCAGCACTTTGGGAAGCCGAGGTGGGCAGATCACTTGATGTCAGGAGTTTAAGACCAGCTGGCCAACATGGTAAAATCTAAAGTCTACTGTCTACTAAAAATACAAGAATTAGACCAGGCGCGGTGGCTCACGCCTGTAATCCCAGCACTTTGGGAGGCCAAGGCAGGTGGATCACGAGGTCAAGAGATCGAGACTAGCCTAACCAACATGGTGAAACCCCGTCTCTACGAAAAATACAAAAAATTAGCCGGGCGTAGTGGCGGGTGCCTATAGTCCCAGCTACTCGGGAGGCTGAGGCAGGAGAATTGCTTGAAGCTCAGAGGTGGAGGTTGCAGTGAGTCGAGATCTTGCCACTGCACTCCAGCCTGGGCGACAGAGCGAGACTCCGTCTCAAAAAAAAAAAAAAAAAGTTAAGGACTATTCTGGTTCCAGTTTAGGATCTAACATACAGGAAGAGTTTAGTTCTGTGTAGATGGTGCAGACAAGGTTGTTAAGGGCACCAGGCTTATGGATTGCTTCTCTTCCAAGCACTTATTTTGTTTAAATTCTGGAAACATTCAATGTAAACATTAGTTATATCAGACAAAAGGATTAGGCATCCACTTAAGTCTATTATGTAGCTCATAAAAGTGGTAATTATAAAGGCTCCAAATTTACTTAGATTAGCACTTCTAAGTTATTATGATAGAGTGATGTACTAAATATACATCACACTTACAACCAGGTAGAATTGAAAGAAGTTTTGAAGAAATATTAAAAGTGCTTTTAGTTTTGTGTTGGGAGATATGAGTGTGTAGGAGAGGGCGTATGGTGGGAAGGGTTTTATTTGAGGTATTGGCTATATTTCCTGTTGTGTTACTGATTTTGATTATTTTGAAAAGTAGTGCCTTTGCACATAGCATAGAGTTCAAACAGTACAGAAGGGAATCTAGTAAAAAAAATCATTACAGTTGGTAGAAATAAAAAAATTTAAGTAAACCCTAAAGATAAAATATTTACATACTTTGACTTCATTAAGGTTCATATAAAATATACAAAATACATCTAAAGAAACTTGGATTTTCTAGTAAATTAAAGAACTAGATAGAACATTGAATTTGCATCTGCAGATGCTTTATGAAGATGGGCTATTTTTACTGATATTTGGAGAAATGCATATTAGAAAATGCCTGTAATTCCTGCTTCTTGGAGAAGGAAAAAAAGAGATGGGATCATTGGCCAGGCACGGTGACTCACACCTGTAATCCCAGCACTTTGGGAGGCCGACGCCGGCGACTCACAAGGTCAGGAGTTCGAGACCAGCCTGGCTAACATGGTGAAACCCTGTCCCTGCTAAAAGTACAAAAAATTAGCCGGGCGTGGTGGCAGGCGCCTGTAATTCCAGCTACTCGGGGGTTGAGGCAGGAGAATTGCTTGAATCCGAGAGGCGGAGGTTACAGTGAGCCAAGATCGCGCCACCGCACTCCAGCCCAGGCGAAAGTGCAAGACTGTGTCTCAAAGAAGAAGAAAAGAGATGGGATCTCAATTTGTTGTCTAGGCTGGAGTGCAGTGGTGTGATCATGGTTCACTGCAGCCTTGAAGTCCTGGGGTGGGTTCAAGGGATTCTCCCACCTCAGCCTCCAGGGGCATGCCCCCACACCCAGCCAATGTTTCATTTATTTATTTATTTATTTGTTTATTTATTTTTGAGACAGGGTTTGGCCCTGTTGCCCAGGGTGGAGTGCAGTGGCATGATCTGAGCTCACTGCAAGCTCCACCTCCCAGGTTCAAGAGATTCTCCTGCCTCAGCCTCCTGAGTAGCTGGGACTATAAATGCCTGCCAGCACACCCAGCTAACTTTTGTGTTTTTTGTAGAGGCGAGGTTTTGCCATGTTGTTAGCCTGCTAAGCTCAAAGGATCTGCCCACCTCGGCGTCCGAAAGTGCTGGGATTACAGATATGAGCTACCGCGCCCAGCCTTATTTTTATTTTTCGTAGAGACGAGTTCTCACTGTTACCCGGATGAACCCCTGGCCTCAAGCAGTCCTCCTAGTGTTGAGATTATGGGCGTAACCATCTTGCTAGGCCAACAAATTCTTAGTGACAGAATTATAGCTAGATAGGAAGAATAAGTCCTAGTGTTCTATATCACTGTAGGATGACTGTAGTTAATAATCTGTTTTTCCTAATAGCTAGAAGGAGGAGTCGGGTGCAGTGGCTCACACTTGTAATCCCAGCACTTTGAGAGGCTGGGGAGGGTGAATCACCTGAGGTCAGGAGTTGGAGACCAGCCTGGACAACATGATACAAAACCCTGTCCCTACTAAAAATACAAAAATTAGCTGGGTGTGGTGGCGGGCACCTATAGTCCCAGCTACTGGGGAGGCTAAGGCAGGAGAATCGTTTGAACCTGGGAGGCGGGGGTTGCAGTGAGGCAAGATCGCGCCACTGCACTCCAGCCTGGGCGACAGAGGGAGACTCTGTCTCAGAAAAAAAGGCTAGATGTGGTGGCTCATGCCTGTAATCCTAGCACTTTGGGAGGCCGAGGCGGGCGGATCACCTGAGGTCAGGATTTCTAGACCAGTGTGGCCAACATGGTGAAACCCCATCTCTAATAAAAATACAAAAAATTAGCCAGGTGTGGTGGTGCGTGCCTGTAGTCCCAGCTACTCAGGAGGCTGAGGCAGGAGAATCACTTGAACCTGGGAGGCGGAGGTTGCAGTGAGCTGAGATAGTGCCATTGCGCTCCAGCCTGGACAACAAGGGTGAAACTCCATCTCAAAAAAAAAAAAAAAAAAAAAAGTCAGATGGATATTGAATCTCCCAACCCAAAGAAGTGATAAATGTTGAAGATGAGAGACGTGCCAAGTACACTGAACTGATAACTATATGTTATAGACATCAGAACATCACTGTGCAGCCACGAGCGCGCAAGACTGTTATGTCATTTAATCAAATAAAGTGAAAAATTCTTAATGAAAAGAATTGTACTAATTGCATTGTAATTATTATTATTTTTTGAGACAGTGTCTCGCTCTGTTGCCCAGGCTGGAGTGCAATGGCACGATCTTGGCTCATTCTTGGCCCATACCCACTGCAACCTCTGCCTCCTGGGTTCAAGTGATTCTCCTGCCTTAGTCTCCCGAGTAGCTGGGATTAAAGGCTCGTGCCAGCACACCTGCTTAATTTTTATATTTTTAGTAGAGATGGGGTTTCACATATTGGCCAGGCTGGCCTTGAACTCCTGACCTTAAGTGATCCACCCACCTTGGCCTCCCAAAGTGCTGGGATTACAGGCATCAGCCACTGCGCCTGGCCTTCCCCCACCTCCTCCTGAGATGGAGTCTTCCTCTGTCACCCAGGCTGGAGTGTAGTGGTGTGATATCCACTTACTGCAACCTCCGCCTCTCAGGTTCAAGCAATTCTCCTGCCTTAGCCTCCTGAGTAGCTGGGATTACAGGCACGTACCACCATGCCCGGCTACTTTTTGTATTCTTAGTAGAGATGGGGTTTCACTATGTTGGCCAGGCTGGTCTTGAACTGTTGACCTAGTGATCTGCCCACCTCGGCCTCCCAGAGGGCTGGGATTACAGGCATGAGCCGCTGCGTCCGGCTTTTTTTTTTTTTTTTTTTGAGACAGAGTCTTGTTCTGTCACCCAGGCTGGAGTGCAGTGGCACTATCTCAGCTCACTGCAACCTCCGCTTCCAGGGTTCAAGTAATTCTCCTGCCTCAGCCTCACGAGTAGCTGGGACTACAGGTGCACGCCACCACGCCTGGCTAATTTTTGTATGTTCATATTGGCCAGGCTGGTCTGGAACTCCTGACCTTGGGATCTGTCTGCCTTGGGCTCCCAAACTGCTGGGATTACAGGCATGAGCCAATGTGTCTGGCCTTTTAAATTTTTTTTTTTTTTTCCTGAGATGGAATTTCGCTCTAACACCAGGCTGGAGTGCGGTGGCGCGATCTCAGCTCACTGCAACCTCCGCCTCCCAGGTTCAAGTGATTCTCCTGTCTTAGCCTCCCAAGTAGCTGGGACTACTGGCACGCGCCACCACGCCCAGCTAATTTTTGTATTTTTAGCAGAGACGGGGTTTCACTATATTGGCCAGGATGGTCTCCATGTCTTGACCTTGTGATCCGCCCGCCTTGGCACCCAAAGTGCTGGGATTATAGGCGTGAACCGCCGCGCCCGGCTAAAACATTCTTTAAAGAGATAGGGCCTTGCTCTGTCACCCAGGTAGGAGTGCACTGGTGCCATCACAACTCACTGCAGCCTTGAACTCCTGGGCTCAAGTGATCCTCCCGCCTTAGCCTCCTCTTCGTAGCTGGCACTACAGGTGTGCACCACTGTACTTGGCTTTCAAAAGTTCTTGAGACTAACAGGCTAGGAAAAATGGATTCAGTGTCATGATTAGGGAGGAAAATAAATTCTTTAAGTAGGTACAGTTCTATTTTTGTGTCCAGATATTTCATGCTTGTATCTGTCCGTCTGTCTTTCTGTCTGTTCATGGCTAGTCAAGTGAAGCAGTGGGAATGGAGAAGGACCAAAGCAACCCGTAACGATTGTGATCAGTTAGTTGTAAACACCACTGCACTAGGACCAGCTCATCTTGTTTTAGCAAATTGGTATTACTCTGGTTACCATCTTGTGATATTCTTGTGTTTATCATAAGTTTCAAAACAGGGCTCATGTTGAGCCAGTGTCCTGTGTGTGCCACTAAAACCGGCGTCCTAGCTCTTCAGCCTTTAGGTCTCCTGATGGCTGTGGACCCACAAAATCTGAGACAGATCTCAGTTAGTTTAGAATGTTTATTTTGCCATGGTTGAGGATGCACACCCGTGACACAGCCTCAGGTACTCCTGATGACATGTGCCCAAGGTGACTGGGGCACAGCTTGGTTTTATGCATTTTAGGGAGACATGAGACATCAATCAATATATGAAAGAAGTACATTGGTTCATTCTGGAAAGGTGGGACAACTCCAAGCAAAGGCAGGAAGACATGAAGCAGGGAGGGGCTTCCAGGTCACAGATAGGTGAGAGACAAACAGTTGCATTCTTTTTTTTTTTTGAGACGGGGTCTCGCTCTGTTGCCCAGCTGGAGTGTGGTGGTGCAATCGCGGATCAGTGCACCCTCTGCCTCCTGGTTTCAAGCAATTCTCCTGCCTCAGCCTCCTGAGTAGCTGGGACTACAGGTGCCTGCCTCGTCTGGCTAATTTTTTGTATTTTTAGTAGACACGGGGTTTCACTGTGTTAGCCAGGATGGTCTCGATCTCCTGACCTCATGATCCGCCCCCCCCATCGGCCTCCCAAAGTGCTGGGATTACAGGCGTGAGCCACCGCGCCCGGCCTTCTTGGTTGATTAATATTTATTTCTTTACTTTTATTTTCTTTTGAGACAGGGTCTCATTCTGTGCCTTATAGTTGCATAAAATGGAAATGTTTCTGGACATTTCTGGACAATAAATTTCTGTGTTCCTTTTTCTTTTTATTAAAGATTTACTAATTTTTGTATTTTTAGTAGAGATGGGGTTTCGCCATGTTTCCCAGGTTGTTCTCCAACTCCTGAGCTCAAGTGATCCGCCCACCTTGGCCTTCCAAAGTGCTGGGATTACAGGCATGAGCCACCTCGCTCAGCCCCTCTGCTGTCGTCCCTTCCCTGGGATCAGTGGCCCAAAGTCCAAGGGAGGCTCTTGCTCTGCCTACCTTCCCCCTTTTCTCCTACCTGGTGGGCATTCTCAGCTAGGCCTGGCCAGCTGGCATCTTAATTTCCTGAAGGGATTTTCTCTTTGCTGAAAGATCCCCTTGCTTTGCTGGCCGTGTCCTGCCTACTGTTTCTTAGGTCAGTGATGCATCTTCCTCACAAAGATGTTCAAAATACACAGATGCTTTTATCCCTTATGGGAAGGAAGACTTCTGAAAATGCTGTGTGATGAATCTGGGAATGTTAGTTCTGGAGACCAGCCATGCTGGGGGATCAGGAAGGCATCCCTGCCATCCCTGCTGGTTCAGCTGCAGCTGTGCCTGCGGGCAGGAAGTGAAGAGGTGAGAACAGGTGCTGGCACAGGCCCGCCTGGCTGCCCTCTTCCCACCCTCTTGCTCCTTCAGCCCTCCTCCAGAACACAGGAAGGTCAGCTGAGTCCATTTTTCTTTTTTTTTTTTTTATTGAGACGGAGTCTCGCTTTGTCGCCCAGGGTGGAGTGCATTGGTGCAATCTCGGCTCACTGCAACCTCCAGCTCCCAGGTTCAAGCGATTCTCCCGCGTCTGCCTCCCGAGTAGCTGGGATGACAGGTACCTGCCACCACGCCTGGCTAATTTTTTTGTATTTTTATTAGAGACGGGTTTCACCATGTTGGTCAGGCTGGTCTTGAACTTCTTACCTCAGGTGATCCACCTGCCTCAGCCTCGCAGAGTGCTGGGATTATAGGCCACCGTCGCCATCGCGCCTGGCCCTATTTTTCTTCAAGCCTGTTCCTGATCACTCAGTAACCTGGTATTCCCACTCACTCAGTAGCCTGATGTTCCTGATCCCTAAGTCGTGCGTATCCACGATTAAACAAACCCATGCTCTAGGAGTACACAGCAGGGGACATGAGGTCTTCCCATCACTGTCGACCTCTGGCATGTTCTCACGGGGGGTGAGTTTTCCCCTCTGTGTCACCCTCCAGTAAGTCCTGCCGATTCATTCAAAGCCCCACCTGTAGACCAGTGATGAAAATTAATTATTTGAAGTATCCTGTAACAGTCATAAAATAATCGCTATGCTGGGTACTCTGTCGTTGCCTCTCTAAATTGATCTCACGCACGCGGACCCTAATGTGCACAGGGACTAGCCTGGAGTTGGTGCCAGCTGCTCCTCTGGCTGGAGCCCTCTGCCCCATGCTGCTCCTTTCTTGGTCATGCAGCAAACACACATTTGTGTTCCCACACCAGGCACCCTTCCTTCTGTGACATAATAACAGCCTTTGAGTGACTGATACTTTTGATTTGTCTGCCTAGAGAAGGAATTCCACAACTCTTGAACTATGAAGTTCTCTAATCATGCTTTTTTGTTTGTTTGTTTTGAGACGGAGTCTCGCTCTCTCGTCCAGGCTGGAGTGCAGTGGCACCATGTTGGCTCACTGTAAGCGCCACCTCCCAGGTTCACGCCATTCTCCTGCCTCAGCCTCCCGAGTAGCTGGGACTACAGGCACCCGCCACCACGCCTGGCTAATTTTTTGTATTTTTAGTAGAGACGGGGTTTCACCGTGTTAGCCAGGGTGGTCTCGTCTCCTGACCTCGTGATCCGCCCACTTCGGCCTCCCAAAGTGCTGGGATTACAGGCATGAGCCACCGCGCCTGGCCTCATGCTGTTTTTTTAAGAAACGGGGTCTCACTGTGTTGCCCAGGCCGGAGCGCAGTGGCTGTTTATAGGCTCTGTCACAGTCACTGCACCCTCCAGCTCCTGGGCAGTCCTCCTGCCTCAGCTTCCTGCGTAGGTGGGACTCCTGGCCCATGCCACTGCACCCAGCTTATGATGCTGGTTTTTGAAATGGGGTTGCTATTCCCATGGTGAGTGTCTTGGGGGAGTTTGGGCATGGTAGTTGGAGTTATAAATTCAACTGAGGTCTTTTGTTTCATTCTGGAGCGTTATTAGAACCCTCGTGAAGGGGGTTGCTATTTCAGGAGGAGCTGCAATGGCCAACCAGGAGTGTGCTGGTCTCCTTTCTGGTCTTCCTCCCGCTCAGCCGGGCTGCCGCTTCTGGTGTCTGGTTGCTTCCATGGTTCTCTACTTCTGAAGTGGCAATCCAGGGTGGTCAGGCAGGGGTGAATTGTCTTTCGGTGTCATGCTACTTTTTTTCTGACGTAGTGGCAGTGTCTGCTGAGTCGTCCCAAAGCACAGAGATGTGATTTGCAGAAGGTATGTTGTGTCTTCGTGGGCAGGAGCTGGAGCTCCACCCTGTTGCTTTAGCAGGCGGCCTTTGACCAATTAAGAGAGCAGGTCTTTCTTGTTGGCGTAACTCTCCTGAGGGTCACAACAGGCTCCGTGCTAGAGCGGTCATCTCTGCAGATGTTTCTTCCTCTCTTCTACCACTCTCACCCCTTATTTTTTTCCCGCTTGTTTACAAAGTTTTATTTCATTCCAACATCGGGTGGGTTGGTTTACTTTACTAAAATCCAAGAAAAACAAGGCTGACGTTTTTGCTGTTGGAAATGAAAAGCCCTTTTATGAGAAAGTCCATCCCCGTCAGCATGGCTTATTCTGTCTGGTGAGGAGAGAAGAAGCCATGAAGACATTTCCTCTTGGTGATTTAATTTTTAAGAACCCTCTTCAGGAAGCCAGCCCTGTGATGCATTTTAAGAGAAATACCAGTTAGTGAGGTTTCATCAGCACTGAGGAACACTTGGCTCTCTCTTGCAGACTAAGAAATACCAAGCAGGAGGAGTCTTGGCATTTGGAACGGGTAAATCAAGAACCTGCTCTTGTTGGCTTGCGAGTGCCTTTAAAGCGAAAGCAAGAAGCTTAGAAGGAAAACGTCACAGATCATGCACGCTTAAAATAAAAACATGCAAAAGAAGTAAATAAAAATAATAACTTGCAAATAAAGGAGAAAATAAAAACCCCATCCAGCACCGTGAATCTTTTCAGCCTTCTGGCTTTTAAATTTTTCTTTGTATAGGACAGTTAAACAAAACCAGAGTCATAATTGACCATTTTAACCTAGTTTAAGTCAACATATTGTTACCACCTCTCGATATCAGTACATCTGCTTCTGCAGCATGATCTTTGGTGGTGGTGGTTGTTGTTGTTGAGAGGGAGTCTCGCTCTGTCGCCCAGGCTGGAGTGCAGTGGCGCGATCTTGGCTCACTGCAACCTCTGCCTCCCAGGTTCAAGCGATTCTCCTGCCTCAGCCTCCCGAATAGCTGGGACTACAGGCGCCCGCTACCACGCCCGGCTAATTTTTGTACTTTTAGTAGAGACGGGGTTTCACCATGTTAGCCAGGATGATCTAGATCTCCTGACCTTGTGATCCGCCCGCCTTGGCCTCCCAAAGTGCTGGGATTACAGGCATGAGCCATCGCGCCCGGCCTGGATATGTAGGGTTTAAAGCATTTAAGAAAATATTTTCCGTCACCAAATTGTCTTCCAGAAAAGTATTGCCAATCTGATACAGGAAGAATGGCATATCAACGGAGTTTCAGTTTGTATTTCCTGGAGTGTATTTGAGCTGATGTTCCTCTGCATGTTAATAAACAAGTGTTTTCGTTCTTGTGCGTGTCTGTGTTGTGGTGTGGGTGTTCTCCACCCTGAGGCCTCTCTTTCTCAACCTGTGCATGGAGGTTGGCCGAGGCAGCCTCTGAAGTACATGGAGCCCTGGACAGCGCCCTGAGTTTCTGTAGGGTTTCTTTCTTTTGTGGTATTATCCTTTCTTACGAGTTTCAGATATAGGCCATCAGTCTGCGTCATTCAGTAAGGAATAAAGAACATGGAAATGCCTACTTTTCACTACCTTTGTTCCGGTGTGACGTTCTCCTTGTAAAGGGCAGAGGGTAGTAGACTAAGGCAGGCAGCAGCAGGACGGTGCTGAGAACGGCTCTGAAGAGTCTCTCTTTTGTGCTGACTTAAAAGTTTTCTCTACTGTTGGATGATCTCTTGATAATTAAAAAAGAAATTATGATACTGATAGCTGTTCGGCCTGCAGAATAAAGCTGCAGTTACTTCATTCAGCAAGGTCTCAGGCTCCTAATTTTAGAGCTCCTAGAATTTTGTAGTCCTCTCAAGATTGGGTTCTGGCCAGGTGCCATGGCTCACGCCTATAATCCCAGCACTCTGGGAGGCTGAGGCAGGTGTTTTACTTGAGGTCAGGAGTTCGAAACCAGCCTGGGCAACACAGCGAGACCCTGTCTCTATTAAAAAAGATTGGGTTCAGGCCGGGTGCAGTGGCTCATGCATGTAATCCAAGCACTTTGGGAGACCCAGGCAGGCAGATCACTTGAGGTCAGGAGTTCGAGACCAGCCTGGCCAACATAGCGAGACTATCTCTATTAAAAAAGACTGGAGCCTGGTGCGGTGGCTCACGCCTGTAATCCCAGCACTTCGGGAGGCCAAGGCAGGTGGAATACGAAGTCAGGGGACCGAGCCCATGCTGGCTAACATGGTGAAACCCTGTCTCTACTAAAAATACAAAAAATTAGCCAGGCATCATGGTGGGTACCTGTAGTCCCAGCTACTCGGGAGGCTGAGGCAGGAGAATGGCGTGAACCCGGGAGGCAGAGCTTGCAGTGAGCCGAGATCTCACCACTGCACTCCAGCCTGGGTGACAGAGCGAGACTCTGTCTCAAAAAAAAAAAAAAAAAAGAAAAAAAGATTGGGTTCAGGCTGGGTGCGGTGGCTCACACATGTAATCCAAGCACTTTAGGAGGCCAAGGCAGGCAGATCACTTGAGGTCAGGAGTTGGAGACCAGCCTGGCCAACATGGTGAAACCCCGAATCTACTAAAAATACAAAAAAAAAAATCAGCCAGGCCTGGTGGCAAGTGCCTGTAGTTTCAGCTACTTGGGAGGCTGAGGCACGAGAATCGCTTGAACCCAGGAGGCGGAGTTTACAGTGAGCTGAGATCTTGCCACTGCATTCCAGCCTGGGTGACAGAGCAAGACTCTTGTCTCAAAATAAAAATAAAAATAAAAAAAGATTGGGTTTTAGGTACTATGCCAATATGGGAGCTCTTTTAAATTTAAAGCAAATCTCAAAATAAAAAAATGGACATTCTATAATCTCCCCCTTGCCCACCCAAGGGAGTGACTCTGGTCTGGTATGGGGGGATGAGAATCTGAGGCTGACACCCTCAGGCAGGTGGCTGAATCTCAGGCCCACAGAGACTGGGTTGCTGTTGGCTCCTGTAGCGGCTCCACTGTGGAGAGAAAGGTTCTGCCAGAAAATCTGGGAGCCACAGATTAGAACCTTCCTCCAGGCACTCACCATTTCTCCCCATCTGTGCTCTCGGCGGGAGGTGCTTTGTGCCCACTTGGCCCAGGTGCAGGGACCCAGCAAGAATGGGACAGACCTGGCTGCTCCCTGGGGGAGGCAGATGGGCAAAAGGACGTTATGGCCTGAGCACCTAGCAGCCTCCAGGTACAGGTGTTCTCTGGATGCAGTCCTGAGGCTCAGGTGTAGGCCCCTGTGTGAGGTGGGGGTAGGTGGGGCTGGAAAGTGTTCTAGACACAGAGACGAGGGTGCATCATAGAATTTGGGGACGTTGGGTCCTACTTGCTCTTGGGGAATGGGAGCTTTGCATCCTGTCATCTTTGTTTCCCTAAAGATCACCCTGGGTGCTGGGCATGGGGGTGCGTGTCTCAACTACTCGGGAGGCTGAAGTGGGAAGATTACTGGAGCCCAAGAGTTTGAAGCTGCAGTGAGCCATGATCACTCCTGTGACTAACCACTGCACTCCAGCCTGGGCAGCATAGTGAAACCCCGTGTCTTTGAAATAATAAAATAAAGATCACCCTGGCCTCTTTCTGACCCGTATCTGAAATTGGTTGTCTATGTGAAGCAGAACAGTGGTACCCAGAGAGGCAGGGCACTGAGGCTTGTTTTATTTTAGGGGACGACATTGCAGGTGGGCTTTCCTTGGGAGCAGATATTTCCTTCAGAGGGACATAAAGAGTGCTCCTTGGCAGGCTGTCTTCCAGGTGGCCTTTGGCACTGCCTGCAGATCGGGTGGGCAGTGCAGCTGGGGAGCTCTGTGCACTGGCAGGGTCACCTGCACGTGGTCTCATCCTTCACAGTAGAAGTTTGTGGCATCTGCTGCTCTAGCCTGGTGTCCAGATGTGTCCTACAGAGACATGTTGACCTGTTTTCCAAGCACACTTCAGTGTGAGGACTTATTTCCATATAGTCCTTTTTATTCATATATCTCAAACTTTTTTGTTTTTTTTTTGAGACGCACTCTCGCTCTGTCGCCCAGGCTGGAGTGCAGTGGCGTGATCTCAGCTCACTGCAACCTCCGCCTCCTAGTCCTGGTTCACGCAATTCTCCTGCCTCAGCCTCCCGAGTAGCTGGGATTACAGGCACATGCCTCCGTGCCCAGCTAATTTTTGTATTTTTAGTAGATTCGGGGTTTCACCATGTTGGCCAGGCTGGTCTTGAACTCCTGACCTCATGATCTGCCTGCCTCGGCCTCCCAAAGTGCTGGGATTACAGGCGTGAGCCACCATGCCCGGCTTTAAAAACATTTTTTTAAGAGACGGGCTGGGTGTGATGGCTCACAGCTATAGTCCCAACACTTTGAGAGGCTGAGGCAGGAGGATCACTTGAGGCCAGGAGTTCAAGACCAGCCTGAACAATATAGTGAGACTCTGTTTCTACAAAAAATATAAAAATTAGCCAAGTGTGATGGTTTACCCCTGTAGTTCCAGCTACTTGGGAGGCTGAGGCAGGAGGATCACTTGAGGCCAGGAATTTGAGGCTTCAGTGAGCTATGATTGTGCCAGTGCACTCTAGCCTGGGCAGTAGAGTAAGACCCTGTCTCCAAAAAGGAAAAAAGAGAGTCAGA
The DNA here is from genome assembly GCF_000001405.40 of Homo sapiens. Lineage (NCBI taxonomy): Eukaryota > Metazoa > Chordata > Mammalia > Primates > Hominidae > Homo > Homo sapiens. The sequence continues at coordinate 46,475 of NT_187610.1, forward strand.
GAGAGAGAGATGGCGTCTCGCTCTGTCACTCAGGCTGGAGTTCAGTGGCACAGTGGCAGCCTCCTGAGTAGCTGGGACTACAGGTGTGCACCACTGCACCTGGCTAATTAAAAATATATATATATTGTGGCCGGGCGCAGTGGCTCACACCTGTAATCCCAGCACTTTGGGAGGCCGAGGCGGTGGATCACGATGTCAGGAGATCGAGACCATCCTGGCTAACACGGTGAAACCTCGTCTCTCCTAATAGTACAAAAAAATTAGCCGGGCGTGGTGGCAGGCACCTATAGTCCCAGCTACTCAGTGGGCTAAGGCAGGAGAATGGTGTGAACCCGGGGGGCAGAGGTTGCAGTGAGCCGAGATCGCGCCACTGCGCTCCAGCCTGGGCAACAGAGCGAGACTCCATCTCCAAAAAAGAAAAGAAGACTAAAACGTATAAATTATACCTGTCTCCCTACAGAAATTCATTAAGAGACTCATGCTCAGACTGTTGTCTGGTTAATGTGAACAACATGAGCACATCTGAAGAAAGGGTGAGAACAAAGGGTTACATTCAGCTTTCAGGTCAACTAATTTAAAACAACAGGACGGGCCAGGCACAATGAATTGTGAAAAATAACGCTGACAATTTAAAATAGTGGAACAAAATTAAAAAAGGAAAAAAAAAAAACTGTAAAGAAAATTTGACATATGAAAAAGCGTATTGTCCAGGCGCAGTGGCTCACACCTGTAATCCTAGCATTTTGGGAGGCCGAGGTGGGCGGATCATGTGAGGTCAGGAGTTTGAGACCAGCCTGGCCAACATGGTGAAACCAATCTCTACTAAAAATACAAAAATTAGCCGAGCGTGGTGGCGCGCATCTGTAGTCCCAGCTACTTGGGAGGCTGAGGCAGGAGAATCACTTGAAACCATGAGGCAGAGGTTGCAGTGAGTCGAGATTGCGCCATTGCACTCTAGCCTGGGCAATGAGGGAAACTGTCTCAAAAAAATAGCCGGGCGCAGTGGCTCATGCCTGTAATCCTAGCACTTTGGGAGGCCGAGGTGGGCAGATCACCTGAGGTCAGGAGTTTGAGACCAGCCTGATCAACATGGAGAAACGCCGTCTACTAAAAATACAAAATTAGGCCGGGCGCGGTGGCTCATGCCTGTAATCCCAGCACTTTGGGAGGCCGAGGCAGGTGGATCACGAGGTCAGGAGATCGAGACCATCCTGGCTAACACGGTGAAACCCCTTCTCTAATAAAAATACAAAATATTAGCCGGGCATGGTGGCGGGCGCCTGTAGTCCCAGCTACTCGGGAGGCTGAGGCAGGAGAATGGCGTGAACCCAGGAGGCGGAGCTTGCAGTGAGCCGAGATGGTGCCACTGCACTCCAGCCTGGGCAGCAGAACGAGACTCCGTCTCAAGAAAAAAAAAAAAAAAAAAATACAAAATTAGCCGGGCGTGGTGGTGCATGCCTGTAATCCCAGCTACTCGGGAGGCTGAAGCAGGAGAATCACTTGAACCTGGGAGGTGGGGGTTGCGGTGAGCCAAGATCGCACCACTGCACTCCAGCCTGGGCAACAAGAGTGAAACTCTGTCTAAAAAAAAATTGAATAACATAAATAAGTAAATAAATAAGTAAATAAAAACAGGATGGAAATTATACCTGAAATTTAAAAAGTAAGATGGCTGTGGTAGGCCAAATAATGGCTCCCAAAGATAGCTAGGTCCTGCTCTGTCCGCTGAGACCACCACACTCTACACAGTAGAGTCCTCCTCATGCTATGCTCTGGCCCTCTTGCCCCTCCAACCTCACTTCCAGCTGCCGGCCCCCTGCTCACTCTGCTCCTGACACTCCACAGGCACACATCCTCCTCCAGGCCTGTGCAGTAGCTATTCCCTCTGCCTGGAATATGCAGTCCTGTATATCTCCAGCTCAGTGTCTCACAGCGCTGTCACCAGGCGGGACAGAGTGTCGGGCTCATTCAGGTGCTCAGCAGAATTCAGCTCCTTGAGGTTATAGAACTGAGGACCCTGTTTGCTGGTTGGTCGTTTGCCAGAAATGGTTCTTAGGTCCTGGAGAACCCTCAGGTTCAACCACATGGTCCTCCCAGGTATGGCAGCTTACTTCTTCTTTGAGACCAGGAGGCTGCTACGATGGAGTCTTAAGTTAACATAAATCACAGCTAGGTGTGGTGGCTCACACCTGTAGTCCCGGCTACTCAGGAGGCTGAGGTGGGAGGATCGCTTGAGCCTAGGATCTTGAGGCTGCAGTGAGCTGTGTTTACCACACCACTGCACTCCAGCCTGGGTGACAGGGAGACCCTATCTCAAAAAAAAAAAAAAAAAAGTTTTAGGCCGGGTGCAGTGGCTCACAGCTATAATCCCAGCACTTTGGGAGGCTGAGTTGGGTGGATCACTTGAGGTCAGGAGTTTGAGACCCGCCTGGCCAACATCGTGAAACCCTGTCTCTACTAAAAATACAAAATTAGCCGCGCGTGATGGCGGGCATCTGTAATCCCAGCTGTTGCGTAGACTGAGGCAGGAGAATTGTTTGAACCCGGGAAGCGAGGTTGCAGTGAGCCAAGGTCGTGCCACTGCACTCTAGCCTGGGCGACAGAGTGAGGCTCCATCTCAAAAAAAAATTTTGTTTTAAAGATTAAGTTAACCTCGTCACAGTGACTGTGCCACCACATGCACAGGCCTTGCCCACACTCAAGAGAGGGGGTCTTAGAATTCTGCCTGCTACCATGGTCTAGTCTTGGCACACCTTCCTTGACAACATGGAAGCCAGGTCACTACCCAGGCCACCTACAAGGAAGTTCACCATTTGACCTGCCGAACGTGCACAACAAACTTTTTTTCTCTTTCTTGAGACAGGGTCTCACTCTGTCGCCCAGGCTGGAGTGCAGTGGAACAATCTTGGTATACTGCAACCTCTGCCTCCCGGGCTCAAGCGATCCTTCTGTCTCACCCTCCCGAGTAGCTGGGACCACAAGCATGCACCACCATGCCCAGCTCTGGCTAATTTTTTGTATTTTTGGTAGATATTTTTGTATTTTTGTTTCACTGTGGTGCCCAGGTCAGTTTCGAACTCCTGACCTCAAGTGATCCCCTGGCCTCCAAAAGTGCTGGGATGACAGATGTGACCCACCACGCCCAACCAAGTATTGGATAACTTTTTAGTTTCTTTTTCTTCCTCCTTTACTTCCGCTCAGGGGTCTAGGTCTGAGTCAGGGCTTGAGGGTGTCCCCATGGGGGCTGGTGTTACCCAGGACACTGCAGCGGCTAGCAGGGCTTGGCTGGGCTGGCGAATGAGGGCCCCACTTCTCTTTTTTGTACAGGGAAGGGACCGAGGATCTGAGTGACATCTGTAGGTCAGAGGGCATGCTGACCTTGAAAGCAAGGTGGGAATGGAGTTCTATGAGCTGAGGAGTCCCAGCTGGCTCGCATTCTAGAGAAGCGCCATAAAGGGAGTCTATTCATTAGCCCCAGGGAGAGAGCCTCCCGCTCCCTCCCTCCCCGCCCCCCACCCCACCCCACCCTTAGGAGCTGCTCACCTTCCCCTCGCCTGGGGCACACACCTGCTTCTCCAGGGACCAGACCTGAAGTGCAGGAAGGAGCCCCGCGGCCTTCTGTTACCGCAGCGCTCTGCCTGCCATCGTTGAATGTGTGGACTCTTTGGTTGCTTTCATAAATTCTGTTTTATTTCCTCATCATGTTTGCTGAAAGCTTGAATGTATCCACTTGGCTGTTTTCCAAGTATTCTCATGTGCATTTTAAGAGTCTCCTGTCTTTAAAATAATGTGGAGGCAGCTCTGAATATACTAAAACCATTGATTTGTACCCTTCAGATGGGTGATTTTGTGGTATGTGAATTTTATTTCAATGAAGCTGTTAACAGAAATAGTACAGAGTCCGTACTGTTGTGTTTTCTGGAGCACCTGGAGTCCCCTCTGTCCCTGGCCATCCCTCCTTCCCCACACCTCACCCCTGTACCTCACCTTCCCCACCCCCCTGCCTCACCCCTGCACCTCACCCTCCCCATGCTTCCCGTATCAGGGAGCTTCTTAAACACAGAATGGGGTGTTAAGATGATTGGAGGGCAGCAGCCTATTGGAATCCCGATGAACGTGGAAAGGTGTCAGGGAGGGGTAGCTGTGGTGTGGAGGAGCCCCACATTTTCGTCCCTGTCTTGTCACAAAGAAGGAGCCCATCGCTGTGATTAGAAGGACTTAGGCCGGGCATGGTGGCTCACACCTGTAATCCCAGCACTTTGGCAGGCTGAGGCAGGTGGATTACCTGAGGTCAGGAGTTCAAGACCAGCTGGCCAACATGGAGAAACCCCGTCTCTACTAAAAATACAAAAAATTAGCCAGGCATGGTGGTGTGTGCCTATAATCCTAGCTCCTTGGGAGGCTGAGGCAGGAGAATTGTTTGAACCAGGGAAGCGGAGGTTACAGTGACCCGAGATCACACCATTGCACTCCAGTCTGGGCGACAGAGCAAGACTCTCTCTCAAAAACAAACAAAGGAAAAAAACAAACAAAAAGGCCGGGGCTCGGTGGCTCATGCCTGTAATCCCAGCACTTTGGGAGGCCGAGGCGGTGGATTGCCTGAGGTCAGGAGTTGGAGACCAGCCTGGCTAAGATAGTGAAACCCCATCTTTACTAAAAATACAAAAATTAGCTGGGCGTGATGGCAGGCGCCTGTAATCCCAGCTACTCGGGAGGCTGATGAGGGAGAATCATTTGAACCTCGGGAGGGCAGATGTTGCAGTGAGTTGAGATCGCGCCACTGTACTCCAGCCTGGGCGACAAGAGTGAAACTCCTTAAAAAAATAAAAAGGAAACAAACAAACAAACAAAAAATCAGCTGGGCATAGTGGTGGGGGCCTGTAGTCCCAGGTACTTGGGAGGCTGAGGCAGGAGAATTGCTTGAACCTGGGTGGCTGATATTGCAGTGAGGCAAGATCATGCCACTGCACTCCAGCCTGGGTGATAGAGTGAGACTCCATCTTAAAAAAGGAAACAAAAAAAAGCCACAAAGAAGGACTTAGAATTGGGTGCTAAGCAGGCCTCTTCCTACTGATAGGTGGACACATCTATTTCTTTATTATTATTATTATTATTATTTTTGAGACAGAGTCTTGCTCTGTTGCCCAGGCTGGAGTGCGGTGGCATGATCTCGGCTCACTGCAAGCTCCGCCTCCCCTGTTCACGCCATTCTCCTGCCTCAGCATCCCGAGTAGTTGGGACTACAGGCGCCCGCCACCACGCCCGGCTAATTTTTTGTATTTTTAGTAGAGATGGGGTTTCACCATGTTAGCCAGGATGGTCTCGATCTCCTGACCTCGTGATCTGCCCGCCTCGGCCTCCCAAAGTGCTGGGATTACAGGCGTGAGCCACCGCGCCTGGCCTATTTCTTTATTTTTTAATTTTTTTTTATTTTTTATTTTTGAGACGGAGTCTCGCTCTGTTGCCCAGGCTAGAGTGCAGTGAGCGATCTTGGCTCACTGCAAGCTCCACCTCCCGGGTTCAAGTGATTCTCGTGCCTCAGCCTTCTGAGTCGCTGGGACTACAGGTGCCCGCCACCACGCCTGGCTAAATTTTTGTATTTTTAGTAGAGACAGGGTTTCTCCGTGTTAGCCAGGATGGTCTCAATCTCCTGACTTCGTGATCCACTCGCCTTGGCCTCCCAAAGTGTTGGGATTACAGGCGTGAGCCACCATGCCCGGCCTGGCCACATCTATTTCTGATGGATAAAAGTGGATTCCTGAATATGTGATATGCCTCTCTGGGGACCTGTGGAATGACATTTTGCATGTCAGACCAGCACAGTGCTTTTATTCTAGACTTTTCTAAACCTTCCCCTCTAAACCAGGGAAAGCGAGTCGGTTCCCCGGTTCCTCATCATGGGTAATCAGAACAGATCTCTGATTTAGGAAGTTGGTTTTTTTTTTTGTTTTTTTTTTGAAGCAGAGTTTTGCTCTTGTTGCCCAGGCTGGAGTGCAGTGGCGCGATCTTGGCTCACTGCAACCTCTGCCCCCTGGGTTCAAGCGATTCTTCTGCCTCAGCCTCCCCAGTAGCTGGGATTACAGGCGCCTGCCACCACGCCCAGCTAATTTTGTATTTTTTTTTAAGTAGAGGCGGGGTTTCACCATGTTAGCCAGGCTGGTCTCGAACTCCAGAGCTCAGGCAATCTGCTCACCTCGGCCTTTCAAAGTTCTGGGATTACAGACGTGAGCCACCACACCCGGCCAAGGAAGCTATTTTTGTACTTCAAACAGAAAAACTGAGCTGCCAGTGAGCACATTCAGAGTAGGAAAACTCATATTATTCAGCCTACCTGTCTTTCTTCCAAATTTCAATTTAGAGATAAACACACCGTAGCTTTTAAGTTGCCAAGAAAAGAGACATGAGATGTACTCAAATGCCTTCATTTTCCCAGTAGGACCTCATCATTCCAGGTGGTTGAAGCATCCAGTAGGCGGGTCTTTGTTCCTTGCTCACACACCCAGTTAAAAGCAAAGGCCTCCCCTCATCTAGAGCCAACTCTGAGCAGGGTCGTTAAGCATCAACTGCCAAGCATAACCCCCTATAAAGTTGCTTGCTATAGTAGTTGGTGCAAAGCTGACTAAATGGGAATTAAAAACTGTCTCTAGCCAGGCACAGTGGCTCATCCCTGTAGTTCCAGCTACTCTGGAGGTCAGTTGGAGGATTGCTGGAGTCCAGGAGTTTGAGACCAGCCTGAGCAACATAGCGAGATCGCCTCCCTACAAAAAATACAAAAATTAGCTGGGTTTGGTGACACTCACCTCTAGTCCCAGCTACTCAGGAGGCTGAGGCAAGAGGATTGGCCGAGTCTAGTCGTTCACATCTAGCGTGGGAAACATGTTGTAGACCTCATCTCATATTGTATACCTCCTCAAAACCAAAACCAAAAAACCCCAAAAGCAAAAACCAAAAAAACCCACAAAACCAACCATGAAAACACCCCTGTCTCTGGAACTCCTTGTCCAAGGTCCCTGAGGCTAATGTGATTTGGAACAGAAGCCAACTTTCCTGCAGGTTTAGAAAGTGTCACATACAGGCTCTTTCTCATTCAAGCGTATAAGAACAGGCTTTCTTGGCCGGGCGCAGTGGCTCACACCTGTAATCCCAGTACTTTGGAAGGCTGAGGCAGTAGGCAGATCACCTGAGGTCAGGAGTTCCAGACCAGCTTGGCTAACATGGCAAAACGACGTCTCTACTAAAAATTCAAAAGTTAGCGAGGCGTGGTGGTACATGCCTGTAATCCCAGTTACTTGGGAGGCTGAGGCACGAGAATTGCTTGAACCCGGGAGGTGGAGGTTGCAGTGAGCCGAGATTGTACTACTGCACTCCAGCCTGGGTGACAGAGCGAAACTCCGTCTCAAAAAAAAAAAAAAAAAAACTAGGCTTTCTTTCTTTTTTTTTTTTTTCTTGGCCACATGCACCAGATTGAAGAATAAGCTTTCTTGTCTGTTCTCTATACAGTGATATGTAAAAATCACCACTCAGATCAAAGAATTGAGAACTGCGCAGCCAGGCGCCATGGCTCACACCGGTAATCCCAGCACTTTGGGAGGCCAAGGTGGGCGGATCACCTGAGGTCAGGAGTTCAAGACCAGCCTGGCCAACATGGCGAAACCCCGTCTCTACTACAAAAATCAGCCGGGCGTGGTGGCACGTGCCTGTCATGCCATCTACAAAGGAGGCTGAGGCAGGAGAATTGCTTGAACCCGGGAGGTGGAGGCTGCAGTGAGCTGAGATCACAGCACTGCACTCCAGCCTGGGTAACAGAGGCGACTCTGTCTCAAAAAAAAAAAAAAAAGAATTGAGAACCGCGCACACTCTCACAAGCACTCAGCAGTGGTCAGTCCATTCTTGGGTGGGTGATCGGATATGACTGGAGCAGGTGCTCCCTGTCACTGTTTTTGTTGTTGTTGTTGTTTTTTGGGAGATAGGGTCTCACTCTGTCGCCCACGTGGAATGCAGTGACGCAATCATGGCTCGCTGCAGCCTCAACCTCCCAGGCTCAGGCAATCCTCCCACCTCAGCCTTCCAAGTAGCTGGAACTACTGGCACGTGGACCGACGAATTTTTTGGAATTTTTTGTAGAGATGAGGTTTCACCATGTTGCCCAGGCTAGTCTGGAACTCTTGGGCTCAAGTGATCCATCCGCCTTGGCATTTCAAAATGCTGGAAAGCCAGGTGTGAGCCATTATGCCTGGCCTTAGTTTGGTTCAGGCTTTATACTAAGTGCATCTCAAATATTTTATTGAACATCCTTTCATTTCTAAGAGTACTTCAGTTATCTCTGTTAAAATGAACCAACCAGAAAGATTCCCACTCAAGTGCAGGACAACAGATATTAGTATCAAGAATTAAGGCCGGGCACGGTGGCTCGCTCACACCTGTAACCCCAGCACTTTGGGAGGCCAAGGCGGATGGATCACCTGAGGTCAGGAGTTCAAGACCAGCCTGGCCAACATGGTGAAACCCCATCTGTAAGGTGGGCTGAGTGGCTCACACCTGTAATTCCAGCACTTTGGGAGGCCAAGGTGGGCGGATCACTTGAAGTCAGGAGTTCGAGACCAGCCTGGGCAACATGGCAAAACATTGTCTCTACCAAAAATACAAAAATGAGCCGGGTGTGGCGGCACACACAGCTACTTGGGAGGCTGAGGTGGGAGAATCGCTTGAACCTGGGAGGCAGAGGTTGCAGTGAGTTGAGATTGTGCCACTGCACCCTAGCCTGAGTGACAGAGTGAGACCCTGTCTCAAAAAAAAAAAAAGAAAAAGAAAAAGAAAAACAAGGCTGGGCACGGTGGCTCATGCCTGTAATCCCAGCAATTTGGGAGGCCGAGGTGGGCAGATCACTTGGGGTCAGGAGTTCAAGACCAGCCTGCCCAACATGGTGAAACCCTGTCTCTACTAAAAATACTAAAAAATTGGTTGGGCATGGTGGAAGGTAGCTGTAATCGCAACTACTTGGGAGGCTGAGGCAGGAGAATCATCCAAACCAGAAGGCGGAGGTTGTAGTGAGCTGAGGCCGCACCACTGCACTCCATCCTGGGCGACGGAGTGAGACTCCATCTCAACAACAAACAAAAAAACCAACAAAAAAACAACAACAAATCAAAACAAAACGAGCACTTGTTGGGAACAGCAGGGAAAGCCCTTTGTGTATATGTTTAGCTGCTTCGCGTCTGCTTTTAGAAAGAAGTGTCCGTGCCATCGGCAGGTGAGCCGCAGGCTTCAGTGCCATTGGGAGATACTGTATAGCCAGGCTTCCAGAGCCGCCTCTCTCCCTGCCCACGCTGGCCCATGTGCTGATCTAGTGTGAAGTTTACAGATAGCTTCGGGAACTCCTAGGAACATTTTGCTTATTATTGCTGTGGTTTCTGATAAGATAAGCTTTGTTGAAAACAGTATAATTCAAGTATGATAGTAACAACAAGATGCAGAAAGGCGGTTTCTCGTTCTGAAAGGTGCTTTGCTGTGAAGCCATAATACAGTGTGTTATTCGAGAATCCTGGGAGGAGTCTCTGGGATCCTAGTTGACTGTGGTGGGAGAACTTGTTCTGCTTTCCTTTCTTTCAGATTAGTGGATCATGTTTCTACATCCATAGTAGGAACAATGCAATTTGTCAGTAAGTTTTTCATACTGCAGTCACCCTGGAGCCAGTGACTGAGTGGATTCTCCACCATGGTGTTTCTGTAACTTATTGTCCGTCTGCTGGAGCGGTGCTGGCTGGCTTTGGCCACTCTGGTTTATGTCTCTTGGCTCGGTTTTCTGCCACTACTGGATTTTGCAGGGAAGGGCAGGCTGTCTCATTTTTCACAGTTTCACCTTTTTTTTTTTTTTTGAAAGCCTCTGAATTGAGTATTTTGGACTTGGAGAATTAGAACTATCCCCAAATCATCAATTACATGAAATCCATCTGTTCTACAGATTATAAAGAAAATATAATTAAAATGGAGTTTTAAAAATGTATACTTTGATTCACTCTTGTTCATTCTAACATGGTAACATGTAAAAGGGGCCTATTCTAGTTAATGATTTGTTTAAAAAATATTTGGTTAATGTTTCAGAATAAACAACTTGGTACTTTGTGTTCAATTAGTAGCTTCAGTGTGGAAATTCTTAGGAATCTTCAGGACAGATTGGCCAGTCTGGACTCCGGATTAGGTAACTCTCAGGTACCCAGCAAGACTCTCACATTCTTAGGAATGAGCTTAGGAATGAGGACTTTTGTGAGATAAGTGGGGAGATGTTTTATAAACTCCAGTTGTCTCCAGGAAGTTGGTTGATGATGGACTTCCGAGGCTAGAGTCACGCTAGCACACAGAGCCCTAGGATTGGGGCGATGGCCCCGGCCTCTTCCGTTGTGAAGGGGAAGCGGAAACTCAGTCTCTGGCTCAGGAATTCCACACTGTGGGGTCCCTTAGCTGGGGCTGACCCTGTTTGAGCCTGACTTTATGAGGCATGTTGGCTGACAGTGGCGAGAGGGCCAGCCACGGGGGCCCGGGCCTTGCTCTGGTGCCCTGTGTGCTTCGGGCTCTCTGGATTGCCTCCTGGGCGATGCTATAGCCTTGCTGACCACGTGCTACACCCCCCATCCTTTTCCTGAAACAGAGCAGCTGTGTCCTGGCATCTCCAGCAGGGCTGCCCTTGAGGGTTCTGTGCTTGCTGCTTGGTAGCAGCCCCGGCATCTGGACTTCACCACAGGGCCTAGGGGGCCTTCCTCGGGTTCACCGATGCCCACAGGGCCTGGGGGGCCTTCCTCGGGTTCACCGATGCCCACAGGGCCTGGGGGGCCTTCCTCGGGTTCACCGATGCCCACAGGGCCTGGGGGGCCTTCCTCGGGTTCACCGATGCCCACAGGGCCTGGGGGACCTTCCTCGGGTTCACCGATGCCCACAGGGCCTGGGGGGCCTTCCTCGGGTTCACCGATGCCCACAGGGCCTGGGGGGCCTTCCTCGGGTTCACCGATGCCCACAGGGCCTGGGGGGCCTTCCTCGGGTTCAGTGATGCTCACAGGGCCTGGGGGGCCTTCCTCGGGTTCACCGATGCCCACAGGGCCTGGGGGGCCTTCCTCGGGTTCACCGATGCTCACAGGGCCTGGGGGGCCTTCCTCGGGTTCACCGATGCCCACAGGGCCTGGGGGGCCTTCCTCGGGTTCACCGATGCCCACAGGGCCTGGGGGGCCTTCCTCGGGTTCACCGATGCCCACAGGGCCTGGGGGGCCTTCCTCGGGTTCACCGATGCCCACAGGGCCTGGGGGGCCTTCCTCGGGTTCACCGATGCCCACAGGGCCTGGGGGGCCTTCCTCGGGTTCACCGATGCCCACAGGGCCTGGGGGGCCTTCCTCGGGTTCACCGATGCCCACAGGGCCTGGGGGGCCTTCCTCGGGTTCACCGATGCCCACAGGGCCTGGGGGGCCTTCCTCGGGTTCACCGATGCCCACAGGGCCTGGGGGGCCTTCCTCGGGTTCACCGATGCCCACAGGGCCTGGGGGGCCTTCCTCGGGTTCACCGATGCCCACAGGGCCTGGGGGGCCTTCCTCGGGTTCACCGATGCCCACAGGGCCTGGGGGGCCTTCCTCGGGTTCACCGATGCCCACAGGGCCTGGGGGGCCTTCCTCGGGTTCACCGATGCCCACAGGGCCTGGGGGGCCTTCCTCGGGTTCACCGATGCCCACAGGGCCTGGGGGGCCTTCCTCGGGTTCACCGATGCCCACAGGGCCTGGGGGGCCTTCCTCGGGTTCACCGATGCCCACAGGGCCTGGGGGGCCTTCCTCGGGTTCACCGATGCCCACAGGGCCTGGGGGGCCTTCCTCGGGTTCACCGATGCCCACAGGGCCTGGGGGGCCTTCCTCGGGTTCACCGATGCCCACAGGGCCTGGGGGGCCTTCCTCGGGTTCACCGATGCCCACAGGGCCTGGGGGGCCTTCCTCGGGTTCACCGATGCCCACAGGGCCTGGGGGGCCTTCCTCGGGTTCAGTGATGCTCACAGGGCCTGGGGGGCCTTCCTCGGGTTCACCGATGCCCACAGGGCCTGGGGGGCCTTCCTCGGGTTCAGTGATGCTCACAGGGCCTGGGGGGCCTTCCTCGGGTTCACCGATGCCCACAGGGCCTGGGGGGCCTTCCTCGGGTTCACCGATGCCCACAGGGCCTGGGGGGCCTTCCTCGGGTTCACCGATGCCCACAGGGCCTGGGGGGCCTTCCTCGGGTTCACCGATGCCCACAGGGCCTGGGGGGCCTTCCTCGGGTTCACCGATGCCCACAGGGCCTGGGGGGCCTTCCTCGGGTTCACCGATGCCCACAGGGCCTGGGGGGCCTTCCTCGGGTTCAGTGATGCCCACAGGGCCTGGGGGGCCTTCCTCGGGTTCACCGATGCTCACAGGGCCTGGGGGGCCTTCCTCGGGTTCAGTGATGCTCACAGGGCCTGGGGGGCCTTCCTCGGGTTCACCGATGCCCACAGGGCCTGGGGGGCCTTCCTCGGGTTCAGTGATGCTCACAGGGCCTGGGGGGCCTTCCTCGGGTTCACCGATGCCCACAGGGCCTGGGGGGCCTTCCTCGGGTTCACCGATGCCCACAGGGCCTGGGGGGCCTTCCTCGGGTTCACCGATGCCCACAGGGCCTGGGGGGCCTTCCTCGGGTTCAGTGATGCTCACAGGGCCTGGGGGGCCTTCCTCGGGTTCACCGATGCCCACAGGGCCTGGGGGGCCTTCCTCGGGTTCAGTGATGCTCACAGGGCCTGGGGGGCCTTCCTCGGGTTCACCGATGCCCACAGGGCCTGGGGGGCCTTCCTCGGGTTCACCGATGCCCACAGGGCCTGGGGGGCCTTCCTCGGGTTCACCGATGCTCACAGGGCCTGGGGGGCCTTCCTCGGGTTCACCGATGCCCACAGGGCCTGGGGGGCCTTCCTCGGGTTCAGTGATGCTCACAGGGCCTGGGGGGCCTTCCTCGGGTTCACCGATGCCCACAGGGCCTGGGGGGCCTTCCTCGGGTTCACCGATGCCCACAGGGCCTGGGGGGCCTTCCTCGGGTTCACCGATGCTCACAGGGCCTGGGGGGCCTTCCTCAGGTTCACCGATGCTCATCTGCCGTAACCTGCCTGAGGCCCTAGGGTTTTGTCAGTTAATGGATGTGGCTACGGCCAGGGCTCCTGCCAGCCTGTTGCCTCTCCCTGTCCCTGAGCATTTTCACAGTCCAGCCCGCCACCCAAGAGGGGCTTTCTTCAGGAGTCTGCCCCCTCTGTGGCTGAATGCTGCCTCCTTTTTCCTTTCTCCCTGGCCCACACTTCTTTCTTCTTTGCTCTCTTTTTCTCTTTTGCTGTTCTTGAAGTTTTCATTATGGAAGAGTTCAAACCCATATGAAAGTGGAGAGTAGTGAAATGGTGCACTGGTACCCATCCCCAGTCACAGCAACGTGCAGGCATGCCTCTGGTGACATCTGTGCCTCACCCCAGATTCTAGAGGTATTTCTAAGTATTTCAGTACATGTGTCTAAAAAGCAGTGCTCTTTAAAAAATTATGAAAATGTCATCACACCTACAAAAATGAACAGTTCCTTAATATCATCAAATATTTATCAGTGTTCAAACTTTTTTTTTTTTTTTTTTTGAGACAGAGTTTCGCTGTTTTTGCCCAGGCTGGAGTGCAGTGGCACGATCTCAGCTCACTACAACCTCCACCTCCCGGATTCAAGCAATTCTCCCGCCTCAGCCTCCCGAGTAGCTGGGGTTACAGGTTCCCACCACCACGCCCAGCTAATTTTGTATTTTTAGTAGAGATGGGGTTTCTCCACGTTGGTGAGGCTGGTCTCGAACTCCGGACCTCAGGTGATCCGCCTGCTTCAGCCTCCCAAAGTGCTGGGATTATAGGCGTGAACCACCACACCCAGCTTCAAACTTTTTTTTTTTTTTTTTTTTTAGCAGACAAATTCTCATTTTGTAGCCCAGGCTGGAGTGCAGTGGCACAATCTTGGCTCACTGCAACCTCCGCCTCCCGGGTTCAAGCGATTCTCCAGCTTCAGCCTCCTGAGTAGCTGGGATTACAGGCGAGCGCCACCACACCTGGTTAATTTTTGTATTTTTAGTAGAGATGGGGTTTTGCCATGTTGGCCAGGCTGGTCTGGAACCCCTGACCTTCGGTGATCCCATCTCAGCCTCTCAAAGTGCTGGGAATACAGGCGTGAGCCACAAGGCACCTGGCTGCAATGTGGTTTTAATTTAATTTGCATTTCTTTAAGGACTAATTGAGCATTTTTTCATGTGGTTATCAACCATTCACACATATTTTCTGATGAAATTTCTATTTAAGTTTTTTGCCCACTTAAAAAAAAATTGAGTTGTCTTTTTTTTTTTTTTTTTTTTGAGACAGAGTCTCATTCAATCACCTAGGCTGGAGTGCAATGGCGCAATCTCTGCTCACGGCAACTTCTGCCTTCCGGGTTTAAGCAATTTACCTGTCTCAGCCTCCTGAGTAGCTGGGATTACAGGCATGCGCCACCACGCCTGGCTGATTTTGTATTTTTAGTAGAGATGGGGTTTCTCCACGTTGGTCAGGATGATCTGGAACTCCCAGCCTCAGGTGATCCACTCACCTCGGTTTCTCACAGTGCTGGGGATTACAGGTGTGAGCCACCGCACCTGGCCTGAGTTGTCTTCTTAATTATAAGATTTCCTTATATATTCTGGACACAAGTCATTTAACAGATATATGATTTGCAAATACTTTCTCCCAGTCAGTGTCATTTTTTTGCTTTTATTAATGTCTTTTGAGTATGAAAGTTTTAAATTTTTATTTTTAAGTTTTGGGGTACATGTGTAGGATGTACAGGTTTGTTACATAGGCAAACGTGTGCCATGGTGATTTGCTGCACCTGTCAGCCCATTAGCTGAGTATTAAGCCCAGGTATTTTCTGTAATACTCTCCCCCCTCCCACCCCATCCCCTGAAAATTTTTAAATTTTTATGAAATCCAATTTACACTTGGCAGAATAAACCTGCATTCTTTCTGAAGAGTTTTATTTTGTGTTACGTCCATGTGTGAGTCACCCTACTTAGCGTTTATGATTTTTGATATCAAGGGTCTTTTTCCCTGAGTTATTCGCTACCAAGGACTCTGCAGAGCCAGGAAGGCATTTCTGAATGGGCGGTGTGTGCTTATCTATGTTATCTATGTAACATATCTATGTTGGCATGCTGGATCCTTGCCGGAACAATACCTAAAACTTCAGAACTGATCTCCCCACGTAAGACCCTGGCTGCTGGCGTTCAGTGGCCAGGGTCCTACTCCTGTGGTTCATCACGCCAGGTGCTGCTGGCAGCCCATTTACAGGGTGCTGCCTGTCCTGTGGCTGTGACCGTCTGCAGTGGCCCATGGAGGCCGTGCTGCCTCCTGCACGTGAGGAGTCAGAGGCTGTCACTGTCAGCACCGCCCCTGTTGGCGGCTTCTTTGCATGTGGTGAAAAAGCCAAGCTCGCGATACAGCCTAATCCCGATTCCCTAAAGCGGCCCGCAGCCTTCTTGGCACCAGGGATTGGTTTCATAGAAGACGCCTTTCCACAGACGGGCAGGGCGTTGGGGTGGTTTCAGGATGATACTGTTCAGATCATCCGGCGTTAGAGTCTCATAAGGAGCGCGCAACCTGGACCCCTCTCATGCGGAGCACACAGTAGGCTTTGCGCTCCTGTGAGAAGAACCTGATGCTCCTGCTGATCTGACAGGAGGGGAGCTCAGGCGGTAATGCTCCCTCACCTCCTGCTGTGCTTCCCCGTTCCCAGCAGGCCACACACCAGATCTCTCCCAGTCCGAGGTCCAGGGTTGGGGACCCCTGCTGTAAAGGCTTAGGGTAACCTAGTCTCATTTGGCAATTACAGGTGAAGGACTTAACTAAGTACTTGGATCCCAGTGGGCTCGGCGTGATCAGCTTTGAAGACTTCTACCAAGGGATCACAGCCATCAGAAACGGAGGTCAGTCATCCCCGCCATGAGCTCCCACCTCCTCTCCCGTTCCTCAGCCACCCTCTCAGCCACCTGCACATCACCAGGCTCCTCGTGCTGACTCTAACATCTTTCCTTCTCCTTGAAGCCCCCAACATACCCCAGGTTTCCAGGTGGTCTCTTTCCTTTCTTGTTACCTTCTCCTCACATACCCTGTTTTCCAGAATTTGCTGCGTTAACTACTTTTCCATAATGCTAGAAAGCAACTGCCCCCTTCCTCAAAGATTTCATGATGACAATTTGAGAATTTTCAAAATATTGAAAGAATGATTCCATGGCCACCCAAGTGGGTGTTCATCACCCGTGCTCTGCAGGCAGCACTTCGTCGCACTCTCTCCCCACGTCTCTGTCCATCTCCAGTCTGTCCCCCAGCCCCTCTTGAATGGGATGTGTTTGTAATCAGCATGCTTCCGCGCACACCGCCCTGAACACTGCAGCCCGTACCACCATCGTTCCCTAGAGCTCAGTGTTTGTTTCCAGTCTTCCTTTGAGTAAAAATTTACCTGCAGTGAAATGTACAGCTCACACCTGCTCCTCTGTGAGCTCCGACAGAGTCCTGTGCCTGGCAGTGCGGAGCCTGTCACGCACATCACTGTCCCCATGTGGGTGCCGCATACCCCTCGCCCTCAGGCAGTGCCTTCCCTCCTGCTGGCACCATTGCTGATTTCTGTCACCATGGATTAGTTTTGCCTATCTCTCTTTTTTTTCTTTGAGACTGAGTTTCACTCTTGTCACCCAGGCTGGAGTGCAATGGCCCGATCTCGGCTTACTGCAACCTCCACCTTCCGGGTTCAAGCGATTCTCCTGCCTGAGCTGGGATTATAGGCACCCACCACCATGCTCACCTCTACTAAAAATACAAAACATATAAAAATTTTTGTATTTTTAGTAGAGACGGGGTTTCACCATGTTGGCGGGGCTGGTCTTGAACTCCTGACCTCAGGTGATCCGCCTGCCTCAGCCTCCCAAGGCTGAGGTGCTGGGATTACAGGCATGAACCACCGTGCCTGGCCAGTTTCACCTGTCTTGAGGGTTCGCGTGCTCTCACTTGGCTTCTTTCCTCAGCACGATCCCTTCCCCAGCACGATCCCTTCCCCAGCACGATCCCTTCCCCAGCACCATCCCTTCCCCAGCACCATCCCTTCCGCAGCACCGTCCCTTCCCCGGCACCGTCCCTTCCCCAGTCCCCTGGCACCGTCCCTTCCCCAGTCCCTTCCCCAGCACCATCCCTTCCCCAGCACCGCACCATCCCTTCCCCAGCACCGTCCCTTCCCCAGCACCATCCCTTCCCCAGCACCGTCCCTTCCCCAGCACGATCCCTTCCCCAGCACCATCCCTTCCCCAGCACCATCCCTTCCTCAGCACAATGTCTTCCCCAGCACAATGTCTTCCCCAGCACCATCCCTTTCCCAGCACGATCCGTTGCGTGCTTGTGCCGTATTTCGTTTCTTCATTCTCCTGGTGATGGGCACGTTTGTGTACAAGTCTTTGTGTGGATGCGTGTCTTCAAGTCCTTGGGGCCTGTATCTAGGAGTGGGTCATGTGCTGGGGTAAACTCGGTTCTTCACAGTGGCCGTGCCTTTTCACACTCTCACCAGTCCCCATACTATACACTGTCCGTCTTACGTCAAGTTCTGAAGCTCTGAACAGGCCATCTCACTTCCTCATGTTTGGCCAGGCGGTGTAGGGGTGACGGTGGCGGGTCCTTTCCCTCCTTCATGCACGTGCAGGATAAGTAGACCTTGGCTGGGGCCCTCAGAGTCAGCAGGTGCAGTGAGGGAGACGGATGCCCTTGGACCTCGACCTCAGGTCTTGTCTGTCTCCTCCACAGAATTATTGCCTGACAGTGTCTCTAAGGGTTTTCTCAGATGCCAAGTCTTTAGATGGCTCTGGGGAAACGTGCTGTGTGTTGTTCCCCGGTTTTTTTTTTTTTTTTTTTTTTTGAGACAGAGTTTTGCTCTTGTTGCCCAAGCTGAAGTGCAATGGCATGATTTCGTCTCACTGCAACCTCCGCCTCTCGGGTTCAAGCGATTCTCCTGCCTCAGCCTCCCGAGTACCTGGGATTACAGGCATGTGCCATTGCGCCCAGCTAATTTTGTATTTTTAGTAGAGACAGGGTTTCTCCGTTTTGGCCAGGCTGGTCTCGAACTCCTGACCTCAGGTGATCCACCCACCTTGGCCTCCCAAAGTGCTGGGGTTACAGACATGAGCCACTGCGCCCGGCCTGTTCCCCATTTGTTACTCTTTATTTGACTGTCTGTTCTTCCACCCATGAACATGTTGTGGGACCAGCACGGCCTCTGCGCTGGGCTTGGCCCCGGGGCCTCTGTGGTGAACCAGCACCAGAGCAAGGCCAGCGGGCTGCGGCAGGACAAATGGGTGAGGTGCTGCTGCTGTCAGCGTAGCAGGCCGGGGGTGAGATGGGAACTAGGCAGGCAGCCCTCTCTGAGGAGGGGTGGAGGGGAGAAAGGACACCCTGACAACCAGGTAAAGACCATCTGGCCCAGGTGAGGAAGCAGTCCTGAGGTGGGGCGAGGGGCCCAGGACGAGGATGGAGAGATACTGCAGGCTCTGCAGGCTGAGAGGAGCGTGCAGGCAAGCTCTGGGTCAAGGGGGCCTGCAGAGCAATGGGCAGAGTGGGTGGCCACAGACCCTCAGGAGGCAGCATTGGCAGGAGAAGGGGGAGGAAGAGGACAGTCAGGAGGCCTCAGAGTCTGCAGGCTGAGCACCAGCAGGTTGAGGCTGATGGGGCCGTGTCTCAGTCTAACTGATAAGCTGCAACCCTTAAGTAACATCTTAAGAGGATAGGTGTGTACTTTATACATTTATTTAACGTTTGTCCTTCTGTACAAAGCTTTCAGTAGCGGCTTTGTGAGAATTTTGGCGTCTCACATCCTGTGCCTTGAGGCTTGCTGCATGGCGTGCTGCAGGTCCTCCCTCCAGGCCTTCTGGAAAGTCTGGTTCTCCTCAGGTTACTCCTGGGACATGGCAGCTGTGCCCATGACCCTCGGGATGAGTTTGTTCTCTAACTGATTCACCGGTTAGCTCTGGGGAGATTCTAGGTGTAAATTTTTTCCTCTTAGTTTGAAAAATCCATTATGGGCCAGGCACAGTGGCTCATACCTGTAATCCCAGCACTTTGGGAGACTGAGGTGAGAGGATCAGTTGATCCCAGGAGGGTGAGACCAGCCTGGGCAACATAGTGAGACCTTGGCTGTGCAAAAAAATAAAGTAGTTGAGCATTGTGGCGTATGCCTGTAGTCCCAGCTACTTGGGAGGTTGAGGTGGGAGCATCCCAGGAGGTGGAGGCTGCAGTGAGCTGTGTTTGTGCCACTGCACTCCATGCACTCCAGCCTGGTGACAGACCCTGTCTCAAAAACAAACAAAACAAAAAAAACTTGCCATTAATTCCAAACAGAATTTTGTGTGTAATAGAGAATGCGATCTTTATGACACTGATGCTTTGGTACTTGCTGGGCCGGCTGGGTGGTTTTTATGCATGTGATGGGTACGCCTGAGAGGATGCTTCTTTTCTAATCATTGGTCCCCTGAGTTCATGGAGGTGCGAGCTGGAGACTCACGTTAGCTTGGTCTCAGTCGCAGGGAGGAGAAAAGCCGCTCATGAAGCTGGTAGCTGTGTCGTTTTTGTTTTGTATAGCTGTGTTTCGTCTTCACTCTTAAGTCAAGAATTACTGGATGCAGGCTTCTAGGTTGATGGTGAGGGAGCCCGGGGACCCCCAGAACTGGTTGTCATTGGAGAGGCCTCAGTGTTTGGGGCTGAGATGGGTGCATGGAGGCCAAGCACAAGACCCCAGGAGGCAGTTACCACTTCCATGAAAAACAAGAAGTGGAATAAGACAGCCTGTACTTCTTGGTCCAGTAACAAGCCATATTTTACATAGCCATAATAGTTAAATTGAATATTGATGTAACTGAAGATGGCGATGTAACCATTTTGGAAGATTGGAGGAGGGAAAATGGGGCAGGGTGCAGTGTGGCAGGGCATCTCATGGGGACTGTTTGGCAAAACAGAGGGAAGTAGATGCGAGCTTAGAGGGGAGTGTGGGCGGCCTGTCAGTAGCCACGGCCTCTCAGCACTGGCTCCTTTTTCTTTTGAGATGGAGTCTCGCTCTGTCGGCCAGGCTAGAGTGCAGTGGTGTGATCTCGGCTCACTGCAACTTGCGTCTCCCAGGTTCAAGCGATTCTCCTGCCTCAGCCTCCCGAGTAGCTGAGACCACAGGCTCGCGCTGCCACACCTGGCCAATTTTTTGTGTTAGAGATGGGGTTTTGCCATGTTGGCCAGGCTGGTCGTGAACTCCTGACCTCAGGTGATCCACCCACCTCGGCCTCCCAAAGTGCTGGGATTACAGACGTGAGCCACCGCGCCCGGCCAGCAGTGGTTCATTTTCTAGTGACAGGCACGTGTATGAAATCACAGGGAACAGGACTGTAACTCCACGCATTTTGAATAAAACCAGGAATTCTTTGTTGTGACTGCTGGTCTTGTTATAAATGTTACAACCCATTTCCTCGGTGCCACAAAGACTCAGAGCACTCAGGGCCCTGGCCAGTCACTGGCTGTGCTGGTCTCGGCTTGTCATAGGGTAAACTTGCTCTGCACAATGTGGCTGGCAGAGCGTGTTCCTGGGCCTGTGACTGAGGGCAGCCTGCAGGAGATTTGGGCTGGAGATGTGTTCCCTCGGGAGTCAGGGACACAGCCTGTCATGGAGAGTTAAGACGGGTCTTTTGTAGGTTTGGACAGGTGAAGTGCTCAGATCCCTCTGCAGGGTCAAGGCTGGGAACAGCAGTGGCCCCGGGTACCATGACATGGGCAGGAGGGAGCCACCTGGGTCCACGATTCTGTCGTCAGGGTAGGGGTTGGTTTGTTCCTGTGGACCATGGCTAACGTGAAATGGGGCAAGCTCAGCTCTAGGGGTTCCTGGGAGGCCTTGGCTTGGAAGGTGCCCACTCTCAGCTCAGGAGTCAGGGTGTGGGAGATGCCCACCAAGCAAAATGAAGCCTCTAGCCTGGCCTGCTGCCCTCGGAGGAGCCCGATGCTCTGTCTGGGAAGCCTGGGGGCTGCCAGCTGTGGACTGTGGCTGCCTGTGGTTGCCGGTGTCTTGGCTTAGTGACTGAAGGGGTGAGAGAGTGATCGTCCAAGGACAGCCCATCTCCAGATGTTTCTTAGTGGTTGCCCAGCCACCTGACACGCCAAGCTGGGGCCTTCTCCCAGACACCGTCCCCTTCTCTCTTTGCTGTCACCTGGGCCAATCCCACAGCAGCTGGGGCACCCCGTTCTCCTTCCCAGCAGCTGACAGATGGGCCTGGGAGGGCTCCTGCGCCTGTCTGCTTGAGAGGGCGGTGAGCTAGTCATCGTGAGCCGGCCAGGGCTCTCCTATCTCACTGCATGAGAGCTTGAGCCAGGCTGGTGGAGGTGGCTGCAGCCGAGGGAGAGCACGGCTGGCACCTGTGAGGACCATGGATGGGGACACATGGGGCAACGGGCCCGTGAGTGCTGTCGAACCAGCCTGTTCCAGGCTCTGGGACGTAGCACGAAACGGCAGTGCAGAACCCCTGCCCTTGGGAGCTGGCTTTCTAGTGGGAGACAGACCACAAAGTAAGGCAGGAGCTAGGGAGGCAGAGGAGTGGGGAGGCCTCCCTGAGAACGTCTGGGATGGGAAGGCAGCATCCCAGCAGGGCTGCACCTGGCATGTTTGGAGGCCACAGGGAGGCAGGGTCAGAAGGAGCAGGTGAGAGGCAGGCCTCACAATTCTGTCTCCAGCTCCAGGCTCCTGAAGAGGATGGTGGGGCATCCCTGAGAGCTGGTGTGAGGGGTGGGACACTGAGCTGACTGCAGAGCTGACTGCAGAGTGGAGTGGGCGTCAGGGAGGAGGTGCAGTAGCCTCAGGGAGGAGGTGCTGGGACGTCAGGGAGGAGGTGCAGGGGCCTCAGGGAGGAGGTGCTGGGACGTCAGGGAGGAGGTGCAGGGGCGTCAGGGAGGAGGTGCGGGGGCGTCAGGGAGGAGGTGCAGGGGCCTCAGGGAGGAGGTGCTGGGACGTCAGGGAGGAGGTGCTGGGGCCTCAGGGAGGAGGTGCAGCGGCGTCATGGAGGAGGAGGTCCTGGGGCGTCAGGGAGGAGGTGCTGCCATGGCATTGGACACATGGCCTCTGGGGCTGCGGGGTCTGCTTTACTTTTGAGTAATTTGATGTCATGATTTATGTTTCGTTCGGAAGGAGAGTGAAACTAGAATAAAACGAAGTCGAAGATGATTTTGGAATTATTTCATAGCATTTAGAAGAAAGGAAAATGTGATCATCCAAACCGCACTTCAGCCAAAGTTCACTTCAGGTGTTAGCTCCATCGTGGCTGCAGCAGCCTGTGTTGTCTGTCAGCCCTGTCTGCGTCGAGGAGTGACCAGCAGGATGTGCTGGCCTAGTTTGCTGGGAAGCACAAGGAGGCTTTCCTGTCACAGCCACAGGCCTTGTTTCAGGAATAGAATGAGATAGAGAGGGATTGTTCCAAATAGGCCATTGCTGTGTCTCACACACCCTCACGCTTTGGAAGAATAAGGGAAACGCACGTGAAAAATTCCTAATTAATTGAAAATTGTTTTAGTTTTTATAAGGAAAACTAATATGAGAATGGTATTTAGGTCCTACCAAGAATATAAAAATGCCATCTGTGTTCATATCCCCTGCTCCGCCCTCTGGGGCAAGACCCTCAGATTGTTTGCCCACTGTCAGAACCTGAGCTGTCATGCGCTGTGTCCAAAATGCTTCGCTGTATATTGAAAGTTTTTAGTTCTGTGTTTCAGTGTTTATAAGCGCAGGCAAGACTGTTAGCATTTTAAAATGTAATTTAATTTTTAATTTATTATTATTATTATTATTATTTTGAGACAGACTCTCGCTGTAGCCCAGGCTGGAGTGCAGTGGCGCGATCTTGGTTCACTGCAACCTCTGCCTCCCGGGTCCCGGTTCAAGCTATTCTCCTGCCTCAGCCTCCCTCCCAAGTAGCTGGGATTACAGGCACATACCACCATGCCCAGCTAATTTTTGTATTTTTAGTACAGACGGGTTTTCACCATGTTGGCCACTATGGTCTCGAACTCCTGAACTCGTGATCTGCCCACCTCAGCCTCCCAAAGTGCTGGGATTGTAGGCGTGAGCCACCATGCCCGGCCTATTTTTTATTATTTTAAATTTATTATTTACGTATTTATGAGACAGGGACTCACTTTGTCACCCAGGTTGGAGTATAGTGGCATGATCTCAGCTCACTGCAGCCTCCACCTCCCAGGCTCAAGTGATTCTTGTGCCTCAGCCTCCCGAGTAGATGGGACTACAGGCATGCCCCCACCACACCTGGCTAATTGTTTTTGTGGAGATGGGGTTTCACTGTGTTGGCTGGGATGGTCTAGAACTCCTGACCTTAAGTGATCCGCCCGCCTCGGCCTCCCAAAGTGCTAGGATTACAGGCGTGAGCCACCACACCCGGCCTTATCTTTATTTTTTGTAGACACAGGATCTTTGCTATATTGCCCAGGCCAGTCTTGAACTCCTGGACTTAAGCAATCCTCTAGTGTCAGTCTTCCAAAGTGCTGGGATTACAGGTGTGAGCCACCATGCCTGGTCTCCACTTTTCTTTTTTCTTCGAGACAGGGTCTTGCTCTGTCACTCAGGCTGGAATGTAGTGGTGCAGTCTTGGCCAACTGCATCCTCTGCCTCCCTGGCTCAAGCCTTCAGAGTAGCTAAGACTACAGGTGTGTCCCACAATGTCCAGCTGATTTTTTTCTTTTCTTTTCTTTCTTTCTTTTTTTTTTGAGATGGAGTCTTGCTCTGTCGCCCAGGCTGGAGTGCAGAGTGGTGTGATTTCGGCTCCCTGAAACATCCGCCTCCCAGGTTCAAGTGATTCTCCTGCCTCAGCCTCCCAATTAGCTGAAATTACAGGTGTTCGCCACTATGCCCAGCTAATTTTTACTATTTTTAGTAGAGATGGGGTTTCACCATGTTGGTCAGGCTGGTCTTGAACTCCTGACCTCAAATGATCCTCCTGCCTCAGCCTGCCAAAGTGCTGGGATTACGAGTGTGAGCCACTGCACCCGACCTAATTTTTGTATTTTTGTGGAGATGGGGTTTCACCATGTTGCCCAGGCTGGTCTCAATCACCTGGGCTGAAGCAATCCACCTGCCTCAGCCTCCCAAAGTGCTGGGATTACAGGCATAGGCCACCGTGCCTGGCCCCAACCTTCACTTTTAAAATAAGTGATTGACATTAGAATAGATTGTGTTAAAGGTATTAAGTAATGCTATTTTATAAGTAGCTGGTCTATTTTAGGCAAGTAGTTGAATTAATAGTGAGACAGTGTGAAGACACCTAAGTGTCTTCTGTCACTCACAGGCCCTGGAAGGTGCTTTGACCTGTGAATATCACTGAGACGCTGGAAGCCAGTGCCTTTTCCTACAGGAGGAGAGGCAGGTGCTGCGGGATTGGTTGTGTTTGCAAAGTGATGACTGTAGCTGACGTAAGAATTATAGCCTGTCTCTCATGAGAAGATAGCTTTTCCTTTAAAGTTTTTCTCATAGAACATTGATTATAGAAGATAAGCAAAAAAAGAAAATAAAATGAAAACTGCGCGTGAACCCAGCACCCAGGAAAAGATGTTGTTTTTGTATTATTTCATCATACCTACACCTTCTCATGTAAATGTTTTTAAAGGTTTAAATCTGATTGGTACCTAACACTTTTTAAAGGCCATGGACAGTTTTATGGAGCTCAATGTCTTGCTCTTTTTTTTTTTTTGCAGTGCTGTCTGCTTCTTTTAAGAAATAAAAAGTTTATCTCCTACCTCTGCATCTCCTCCTCAGAATTCTCTCCAGAAGCCTTGTTCCTGTGGGCAACGCATCTCTGACCCGTTGGCAAGGCTGTTTTCTCTCCCTGGATTTCTCATGCTCACTCCCTTGCTTGTCTTGACCCCCCCCAGGGCCCCCAACTCCCACACATCTGTCCCTGGGGGCCTCCTTCCCAGGGAGTCCCGAGGCCGCCAGGGGTCCCGTCACTGGGTGGCTATGGGTGGCCTGTTGAGCACGAGGTCTTCTCCCTGCAGATCCTGATGGCCAGTGCTACGGTGGTGTCGCTTCTGCCCAAGATGAGGAGCCCCTGGCCTGCCCGGACGAGTTCGATGACTTCGTCACCTATGAGGCAAGTGGTTTTCACCCAGGAGCTTGGGGGAAGTCTGGCATCCACCTCTTCCTTTATGCCCTACAGCTCGTGCCTCCTGCCTCCGGGCTGTCTTCCGTAGAAGCTGGCGTGAAGGAAGGGCCTCCCGCCCTGTGTGCACCGTGGGGCTCTGTGGCTGTGACGGGAGGCCCACAGTTGTCTGTCCCACACGCCCTGTCAGCCTGGGCAGGAATCCTCCCCCAGGGCCTGTCGCCAGCAGAAGTGGGGTGGGCAGTGATGTCATGACCACCCGCTGCCAGGCTGGCAGGCACAGGCGGAGCAGAGGGCTTGGGAGGATTCCTTTTGTCAACTTGCAAATGATTTTCTGTGTTTGGGGATGCCTGACTAATGCCTGCCCCTGCTTGGCTGTCCTCCACCCTGCTCCCAGATGCAGCCAGGGTTGTCATGGTGACGTGGCGTCTCCTGTGTCTCCTGTCACTGTGGGTCCCTTGTTCTCAACATAGCTGGGGAGAGGGTCTTCGAGCACAGCCGTGGTCGACAGAGCGTAACCATGTCCGCCGGTCTGGAGGGTTAGATTCCAGGAGAGCCACGTGGCTGCAGCAGAAAATGCATGAAGTTGAACTTGAGCCCTTGGGGGCCGCCGGGAAGGTGGAGGTGGCAGCCGCCAGTCCTGGTCAGCCTGCTGCCGAGCAAGGGTACCAGAAGTGGGGCTGAGCTGCTGGCCGGTAGGGCCTGGGCTTCTCATGTCAGTCCTCTGAGCCCTGACTCCTCGAAAGCTGAGGCTGGCACAGGGTAGTTTTTGAGTTGCTTTTGGACGCCACTGTACCGTGGGAGCCATGGTATTATACTCAGTTCCCTGTTCCGAGAAGCTGCCCCAGGGATTAGTCACCCTCACCCTTGGGTGGGCAGCTTAACTTCTGCCCACACAGACCCTGGGGGTGGTTCTGCCTTACGGCGGTGTCCCAGTTATCAGCTGGGCTGCAGCTTCTGGGGCCAGGGCGCCCACCGTGGGTCCCATGTTTGGCCTTGGTGTGCTCTTTCTGCACGTGAGGCAGCAGTGAGGTGCTGGCTAAGAGGGCGTGTGGTGGGAGTTGGACCCTCTCGCATGGCTGCAGTGTGCAGAACGTGCTGGGAGACCCCAGGACTACAGACGGTGGCTCCTGTGCCCTGAGAAGGACCCGGCTTCTTCACGAGGAGATGCCCAAGGCTCTGCAGGGTAACCCAGAGCCCTTGGTCTGCAACGTCCGGGGAACTGTGTGTTCCTGGGCGTTCATGTGCCTGTGCACTCTTTCTCACGTGTATCTGTCTTTTTGTTCCCCTCTCATGTTTGTTAGGGCATTGTTGATTGTTTATATCCTATGTATGGTGCAGTGGCTGAAGAGTGGCCTCTCAAAAGATATGTCCACCCAGCAGCTGTGGATGTGGCCTTATTTGGAAAAAGGGTCTTTGCGGATGTAGTTCATTAAGGATCTCAAGGTGATATCATGCTGGTTTGGGCCCTAAATCCAGTGACAGGTGTCCCTGGAAGACGGGAGAGACACACAGGGGGAAGACCATAGGAAGACAGGGCAGAGACTGACCAGAGCCAGGGAACTCCTGGGGCTCCCAGAAGCCAGCAGAGGCAAAGATGCATCCTCTCCGAGAGCCTTAGGCAGGAGCCAGCCCTGCTCACACCTTGGCTTTGGACTTCGGGCCTCCAGAACTGAGAGGATAAACTGGTGTTTCTTCACGCCCCGTGGTCTGTGCTAGTTCGTTATGGCAGCCCTGGGCAGGGAAACCTTGAGTGACGTTACTCGAGGCACCAAAGGCACCAGTGCATTTTATCCTTAAAGGCCCACGTGGTCTGAAGGGTGTGGCCGAGCCTCACGCTTGTCACTTCAGAAGGGTGGGAACCTGACATGTCAGAGCTAATCCTTCTCATATTTTTAGATCCTGATTTCTTTTTTAGAATGGAAGAAAGTTTTTTGACTTAAAAAAATGAATATGCTTCATGTTTTAGAGCAATTTTAGGTTTACAGAAAATGGAACATAGTGTAGAGCATTCCGGGATCACGTTACATGATTATTTGTTTTGTTTTGTTTGAGACGGTCTGCTCTATTACTCAGGCTGGAGTGTGGTGGTACAGTCTCGATCTTGGCTCACCACAACCTTCGCCTCCTGCGCTCAAGTGTTCTTCTTTCTCAGCCTTTCCAGTGGCTGGGACCACACTCAGTAACCACCACGCCCAGCTGATTTTTTGTATTTTTTTTTGTAGAGATGGGGTTTCACCGTGTTGCCTAGGCTGCTCTCAAACTCCTGAGTTCAAGCGATCCACCCGTCTTGGCCTCCTAAAGTGCTGGTATTACAGGCGTGAGCCACCGCACCCAGCCTGATATGTTAGTATTAGCCAAAGTCCGTAGTTGAGGGTTCACTCTTGGTGGTGTGTATTCCGTGTTTTGACAGGTCCACGATTATAGTGTCACAGAGTCGATTCAGTGCCGGCTCATCCCTCACACCAGCCCCCACAACCACCGATCCTCCGTGTCTCCACAGCTCTGCCTCTTCCAGAACGCCACGGAGCTAGAACCATCTGGCATGCAGCCTTTTCAGATGCGCCTCTTTCCCTTAGTGAATACGCAGTTACCTCTCCTCCATGTCTTGCTTTGCTTTTTAAGGGTGGGATGTAATTTTCCACAAAGTGGAGTTCGATACTGTGAAACTTATGGAAAATTTGCTCTTTTAAAAAACAGCTTGCACATCATGTCATCTTAAAAAAAAAAAGTCTAATAAAGATATGAGTAGGGAGTATGTGTTCCATCCAGATACCCTATTCGGGGACCCTCCACTGGTAGTCTTCAGGTAAATAAACCTTTGATTGATTGGTTGATTGGTTGATTGATTGATATTCTGAATGGTTCCAGTCAGACCCATTTCTCTTTACTGGGAGCATCGCAGTGCTCACACCGGGGTGGTCGGGTAAAATGTGCAGTTAGTCATGGCCGAGCTAGTGGGTCTGCTGGCTCGCACTGTTTTCCCAGGGATCCTTTCAGCAGGCAGCTTATAACGGGAAAGTTGCTGCTATGGTGTCTGAGTAAGTGGGGAGAGTAGAAGGGGATGGACTGTGGCGCCGCTGAGTTCCTGGGCATGGTGATGTCTGAGGATCTGAGCAGGTGGAGCCCAGGGGGTGGTGGGGCTGTTTGTCGGGTTTCTGGAAGAGCGAAGGGAAAGTCAGGGAGTGTAAGGCGCATCTCACAGAATCGTCGGGCCGCGCTCTCTCCCGTCCTCCCTCCTTCTCCCACTACTGGCGATGTCTGGAGCAAAGAGCTGCCTTAGTGAAATGATAGTGAAATGTGTCTTTTGTGCAAACCATTATCAGCTTAGGAAGCCAAAAACAAAAGCCACTCTGTTTTCAGCCCTGACTGACTAACCGTTTTTTAAACCAGCAAGGACACTTCCTGAACTTTGCCTTCCCCTCCCTGGGCAACACCAGCAGGAGGTTTATTAGAGCGTGTCTGGGAGCAGGTTAAACTTTCTCCTAGGTGGTGATGTGCCTCCAGGTGAGCGCACAGGCTTTGCAGAAACCCCAGCATGACAAGCAAGTAGGAAGGTGACATTGTTGTTTGAGAAAAGCCAGTGACCCGGTTGGGACGGAGACACGATGGGGAGCCGGTCTCCAACAGCATGCCCTTCCTGAAGGTGTGTACAGAGCCAGGCCCAGCCTGTGAGGCCACCCGGGCCAGCATCTGAGGGTAAGAGGAGGCAGTAGTGTGCACTGTGCCCAGTATTCCTATTTCTGTGGTGGAGAGAGGCTCAGGGAAGAAGGAACTGTGACGGGGACAGTGTTGGCCCCACTTGAGTTACTGATGGCCCTGAACGGGCTTTTTCTCTGTCCGCTGGTGATTTAGGGGACTTGTTAATTAGTGAATGTAACGTTTCAACATAGCGACGTTTTCCAAGATGCACTTTGATTTTCAAGCGAGTTCATCTTAACATTGGTAATTTGTAAAAATGTTAAAAAGTTGGTAGCATAGACTTGATGGCTTCTGGGCAAGGCCAGGTCCTGGCTGGCTGGCAAATAAAATAAACTGCCGGGGCCGGTGTGAGCTGTTACTGCATTTTATCCAGGAGGCCGGGAGTGAGCAGGCACCGTGCTCTGAGGTACATTTTTGTCTCTGGAAAGGCAGGTGATGGCTGCCCTGGAAAACTCCATGTAGGGAGGCCTTGAACTGCAGAAACCAACCCGCAGGGCTGAATTGGGAAGTGAGCAGGTGGGGTGGCTCCTGTGAGCCTCATGAGCTGTCTGGAACCCCCAGGGCATCCAGCCGGCCAGGGGCTCTGAGTATCGATGGCGATGGCATGGAAGTGGACGTCCACAACCCCAGAGCAAATAAAGGGGTGGGTGCAGTCACCGAAGCCGCTGAGGAGTGGAACTGTTCATCTCTGTGGGATCTACAGTGCACGGAGCCACTCTGCAATGGCAGGGAGGCCCGGCTTACTTTATTTTTTATTTTTTAAATTGTTTTTTGAGATGGAGTCTCACTCTGTCACCCAGGCTGGAGTGCAGTGGTGCGATCTTGGCTCACTGCAACCTCCACCTCCCAGATTCAAGTGATTCCATGCCTCAGCCTCCTGAGTAGCTGGGATTACAGGCGCCCGCCACCACACCCAGCTAATTTTTGTATTTTTAGGAGAAACAGGGTTTCACCATATTGGCCAGGCTGGTCTCGAACTCCTGGCCTCAAGTGATTCACCCACCTTGGCCTCCCAAAGTGCTGGGATTACAGTGAGCCACTGCGTCTGGCCCTCAGGCTTACTTTAGAAATGAGAAGGTGAAGGTGGGTCCAGAGCGGAGCGTGTGAGTTCCAGGCTTGGCAGGGTGCCCTGGCATCCAGCTTACAGGGAGTCTGAGTTTGTGTAGAATCTGCCTCATTGTTCCTGTGTCCGTGGAGAATTCTTTCCATCCCAAACCATCCTGTCTAAGCTCTGAGGAGGCACAGGTGGCTCTAAGGCGGCACTGGCTTTTGCCTGCAGGGGCACCATCCTCAGCTACAGGTCTAACAGGAACTTGGTGAAATAAGCAGGCCCCACTGCCCGGACCTCCCTCCCTTCGTAGGACAGATGCTCTGCTCAGGGCTCCATGAGCTGTTTGAGAGAAGGTGTGGGTTTGTTCTTAGAAACATCATGCTTTCTGTTGGGGACTTAGGGTCCACACTGGCCAGGGAAGGGCATCGGGCATCTGTCAGAAGTACCAGTCCATTGACTTTTTAAAAGCTGGTCCAAGGTCAGGTGCGGTGGCTCATGTCTGTAATCCCAGCACTTTGGGAGGCTGAGGCAGGAGAATTGCTTGAACCCGGGAGGTGGAGTTTGCAGTGAGCCGAGATTGCGCCACTGCACTCCAGCCTGGGCGACAGAGCAAGACTCTGTCTCAAAAAAAAAAAAAAAAGAAAGAAAAAATTTTAGGCTGGGCATGGTGGCTCAGGCCTGTAATCCCAGCACTTTGGGAGGCCAAGGTGGGCAGATCACAAGGTCAGGAGTTCGAGACCAGCCTGACCAACACGGTGAAACCCTGTCTCTACTAAAAATACAAAAATTAGTTGGGTGTGGTGGCGTGTGCCTGTAATCTCAGCTACTCAGGAGGCTGAGGCAGAATCACTTGAACCTGGGAGGTAGAGGCTGCAGTGAGCTGAGGTCACACCATTGCACTCCAGCCTGGGTGACAGAGCAAGACTCCGTCTCAAAAAAAAAAAAAAAAAAATTAGTCAGGCATTGTGGCAGGCGCCTGTAATCCCTGCTACTTGGGAGGCTGAGGCAGGAGAATCGCTTGGACCTGGGAGGCAGAGGTTGCAGTGAGCCAAGATGGCGCCACTGCACTCCAGCCTCGGCGACAAGAGCGAGACTCTATCAAAAAAAAGAAAAAAGAAATTTTAGGCTACGTACTGAACCACTGAACCTGATGTTGTAATAACCACACTTTTTAGAGTCAGCAGCGGGTCTTCCTGGTGCCCCTGGGGTGAGTCTTTGTCACTGATGACTCTGGGGCAGTGTGGCCCCTGTGAGTGTGCAATCCTGTTGGGGTAGCTGGCAACTGCCCTCAAACCGTCTCGGACCTGTGCGCTGGGCTTCGCATCCTGCCCCGTCATGCCTTCCCCACAGGCCCAGCCTCTGACAGACATCCTGGGCCTGCCTGCTTTCCTGGCCACTCCCGCCTTTTCCTGCCTGGCGTCCCGCAGGCCCAGCACAGGCCAGCCCTGTCCTGAGTGGGCCCTGGGCCCTGCCGTCCTGCAGGAGTGGGAGCTGCCCAGGGACGGTGAGTAGCACGAGAGCTGGGGTTTCTTACAGTGCTCTCCTGGTTCTGGATGTTACAGTGGATGCTCTTGAGGAATGACTTAGTTTTTATGAATTACTTCCTTAGATTGTAGGGGAGATTATAATTGGACACCCAGAGTAGGTACACTTCACAGCACTCCCTGTTCCCTTGTGGCTTTAGAAGCAGCTGGCAGGGATTTCCCACCCACCAGTGACACTCGCACCCTGCAGTCCTTGTTTCTGTGCTTTGAAAAGCACCTTCCTGGGTTGTCTTTCTTGGTTCCATGAGGTGGCCACCTTGTGAGACGAGAATTTATAACCCCCGTTTGCGGCAGGGCTCCAGGTGGTTGAGTCACACGTCTGAGGTCACACGGCTTTTAATAAAGGGGCCAAAGATGGAACTGCGGCCTCCCGCAAGTGCGCCAGGCTCCTGGCAGCTCGGCCTGGCCCTTCACGTCTCTTCCAGTGAGGCTCAGGTGGGTGCAGCCTGGGGTGGGACCCTCTGGTAGCCCTCGCAGGTCTTAGCACACTGTCTACTTCTTTTTTTTTTTTTTTTGAGATGGAGTCTTGCTCTGTTGCCAGGCTGGAGTGCAGTGGCATGATCTTGGCTCACTGCAGCCTCTGCCTCCTGGGTTCAAGCGATTCTCCTGTCTCAGCCCCCCGAGTAGCTGGGACTGCAGGCACGTGCCACCACGCCTGGCTAATTTTTGTATTTTCAGTAGAGATGGGGTTTCACCATATTGGCTAGGCTGGTCTCGAACTCCTGACCTTGTGATCCACCCGCCTCGGCCTTCCAAAGTGCTGGGATTACAGGCATTAACCACGGCGCCCAGCCACTTTGTCTGCTTCTTACGATACTAGAACTAGAGTGCAAAGGGCATCTTTTTCTGCTGGGACTGCAGCTTTTCTGAGATCTTGTTTATTTGCAAATTGTTAACCTCAGAGTCTTCTGAGCATGAAATGTTGGCCACTTTTCCTAACCAGCAATTTCATTTTCATTAAGGTTGAAATTATAAATTGAAAATGTTGGCTGGGCACGGTGGCTCACGCCTATAATCCCAGCACTTTGGGAGGCTGAGGTGGGCAGATCTCTTGAGGCCAGGAGTTCAAGACCAGCCTGGGCAACATAGCAAAACCTCGTCTCTACAAAAAATACAAAAATTAGCTGGGCACAGTGGTGCATGCCTGTAATCCCAGCTACTTTGGTGGCTGAGACACAAGAATCACTTGAATCCGGAGGCAGAGGTTGCAGTGAGCTGAGATGGTGCCACTGCACTCCAGCCTGGGTGACAGAGTGAGACCCTGTCTCAAAAAACAAGAACAATTAGAAAAAGAAAAAAAAAGTTCTGTTTAATAGTTCTTTAGTTTTGTGTTCATTTGTATGATCCACAAATATTTACTATCTACCTATACCTGGTCCTATGCTAGATGCTAGATACTTAAGAGTAAAAACAAGTTGGGTGTGGTGGCTTATGCCTATAATCCCAGCACTTCGGGAGGCTAAGGCAGGCAGATCACTTGAGCTCAGGAGTTTGGGACTAGCCTGAGCAACATGGCAAAACCCCATCTCTACAAAAAAATACAAAATCAGCGAGGTGTGGTGGCTCACACCTATAGTCCCAGCTACTCAGGAGGCTGAGGTAGGAGGATTGCTTGAGCCCAGGAGTTTGAAGCTGCAGTGAGCCAAGACCGCACGACTGCACTCCAACCTGGGTGTCACAGTGAGACTCTATCTCAAAAAAAACACAGCAGTAAAAACAGTAAAAACAATTGGTTGCGATGGCTCACACCTGTAATCTGAGCAGTGTGGAGGATCACTTGAGGTGCGGAGTGGATGACCAGCCTGGGCAACAGAGTGAGACCCTGATTCAAAATAAATAAATCAACAAACAAACAAACAACTGAGCCAGGTGTGGTGGCACCTGTAGTTCCCAGCTACAGCTAGATCCTGTCTCTATTTTATTAAAATAAAAAAGAAATTACTCTGCCAGGCTCAGTAGCTCACACCCATAGTTCTAGCACTTTGAGAGGCCAAGGCTGGTGGATCACTTGAGCACAGGAGTTCAAGACAGCCTGGAAAACAAGGCAAAACTCCATTTCTACAAAATTTCAAAAAATTAGGCATGGTGGCTTTTACCTGTGGTCTCAGCTACTCAGGAGGCTGAGGTGGGAGGATCACTTGAGCCCAGGAGATCAAGGCTGCAGTGAGCTGAGATTACACCATTGCACTCCAGCCTGGGTCTCAAAGAGAGACACTGTCTCAAACAACAACAACAAAAATTACTCAGAGTACCTTGTTTTCTGCTCTCAGACATGTACCTATTTTTCATTTAAAAAAAAGTTGAATTCAGCCAGGCACGGTGGCTCACGCCTGTAATCCCAGCACTTTGGGAGGCCGAGGCAGGTGGATCACCTGAGGTTAGGAGTTCGAGACTGGCCTGGCCAACGTGGTGAAACCCCATCTCTACTAAAAACCCAAAAATTAGTGGCGTGGTGGCACGCATCTATAATCCCAGCTACTCAGGAGCCTGAGGCAGGAGAATCTTTTGAACCCGGGAGGTGTAGGTTGCAGTGACTGGAGATTGCACCACTGCACTCCAGCCTGGGCAGGAAGAGTAAAACTCCTTCTCCAAAAAAAAAAAAAAAAAAAGTTGAATTGTGTTTTATTCATTTTATTTTCATTTTTGAAATAGAGGCTCACTCTGTCGCCCAAGCTGGAGCTTAATGGCATGATATCAGCTCACTGCAAAATCTGCGTCCCAGGTTCAAGCCATTCTCCTGCTTCAGCCTCCTGAGTAGTTGGGATTACAGGCATGTGCCACCACACTTGGCTAATTATATTTATTTATTTATTTATTTTTGAGACGGAGTCTTGCTCTGTCGCCCAGGCTGGAGTGCAGTGGCGTGATCTCAATTCACTGCAACCTCCACCTCCCGGGTTCAAGCGATTCTTCTGCCTCAGTCTCCCGAGTAGCTGGGACTACAGGTGCCCGCCACCACACCTGGCTAATTTTTGTATTTTTAGTAGGGACAGGGTTTCACCATTTTGGCCAGACTGGTCTCGAACTCCTGACCTTGTGATCTGCCTGCCTTGGCTTCCCAAAGTGCTGGGATTACAGGCGTGAGCCACTGCGCCCGGCCTGTATTTATTTATTTTAATTTTTTTTTTTTCAGACAGAGTTTTGCTCTTGTTGCCCAGGCTCGAGTGCAATGGAGTGATCTCAGCTCACCACAACATCCACCTCCCTGGTTCAAGCAATTTGCCTGCCTCAGCCTCCTGAGTAGCTGGGATACAGGAGTTCGCCACCACACCCGGCTAATTTTGTATTTTCAGTAGAGACGGGGTTTTTCCATATTGGTCAGGCTGGTCTCGAACTCCCAACCTCAGGTGATCCTTCTGCCTCGGCCTCCCAAAGTGCTGGGATTACAGTCGTGAGCCATTGCGGCCAGCTGTTATATTTATTTTTAATTAATTAATTTTTTTGAGATGGGTCTTTATCACTCAGGTTGGAGCACAGTGGTGTGATCACATCTCACTGCAGCCTCGACCTTTTGGGCTCAAATGGTCCTCCTGGCTGGCGCTGTGGCTCACTCTTGTAATCCCAGCACTTTGGAAGGCTGAGGTGGGTGGATCACCTGAGGTAAGGAGTTTGAGACCAGCCTGGCCAACATGGTGAAACCCCGTCTCTACTAGAAATACAAAACTTAGCTAGGCATGATGGTACATGCTTGTCTTCCCAGCTACTCAGGAGGCTGAGGCAGGAGAATCACTTGAACACAGGCCACGTAGGTTGCAGTGAGCTGAGATCATGCCACTGCGTTCCAGTCTGGGCGATAAGAGTGAGACCCTGTCTCAAAAAAAAACCCCCAAAAAACAAAAAGCAAGCTCCTCCGTCAGTCTCTTGAGTAGCTGGGACCTACAGGCAGGTGCCACCACACCTGGGCAAGCTCCTCCGTCAGTCTCTTGAGTAGCTGGGACCTACAGGCAGGTGCCACCACACCTGGGCAAGCTCCTCCGTCAGTCTCTTGAGTAGCTGGGACCTACAGGCAGGTGCCACCACACCTGGGCAAGCTCCTCCGTCAGTCTCTTGAGTAGCTGGGACCTACAGGCAGGTGCCACCACACCTGGGCAAGCTCCTCCGTCAGTCTCTTGAGTAGCTGGGACCTACAGGCAGGTGCCACCACACCTGGGCAAGCTCCTCCGTCAGTCTCTTGAGTAGCTGGGACCTGCAGGCAGGTGCCACCGCACCTGGGCAAGCTCCTCCGTCAGTCTCTTGAGTAGCTGGGACCTGCAGGCAGGTGCCACCGCACCTGGGCAAGCTCCTCCATCAGTCTCTTGAGTAGCTGGGACCTGCAGGCAGGTGCCACCGCACCTGGGCAAGCTCCTCCGTCAGTCTCTTGAGTAGCTGGGACCTGCAGGCAGGTGCCACCGCACCTGGGCAAGCTCCTCCGTCAGTCTCTTGAGTAGCTGGGACCTGCAGGCAGGTGCCACCGCACCTGGGCAAGCTCCTCCGTCAGTCTCTTGAGTAGCTGGGACCTACAGGCAGGTGCCACCACATCTAGGTAAGTTTTGTATTTTTGGTAGAGACAAATTTCACTTTGTTGGCCAGGCTGGTCTTGAGCTCCTGGGTTCAAGCGATCCACCCACCGAGGCCTCCGAAAGTACTGGGATTACAGGCGTGAGTCACCGCGCCCAGCCTGAATTGTGTTTTATAAGTAATGTCTCTGCTTAGAGACAGTTGGGACTTCAGGCGTCAGACCCCTCCCTCCACACTGCCCTCTCCAGGGCCTTGCAGCAGTGAGGTGTGGGGCGTTCGCAGTTCCCCTCCCAGCTTGTGCCCGCTGACTGCTGGCGCACTCTCTCCTAGGCCAACGAGGTGACGGACAGCGCGTACATGGGCTCCGAGAGCACCTACAGTGAGTGTGAGACCTTCACGGACGAGGACACCAGCACCCTGGTGCACCCTGAGCTGCAACCTGAAGGGGACGCAGACAGTGCCGGCGGCTCGGCCGTGCCCTCTGAGTGCCTGGACGCCATGGAGGAGCCCGACCATGGTGCCCTGCTGCTGCTCCCAGGCAGGTCTGTACCCCGCCACGGGCCTCCTGGAGAGGCCTTGGGATGTGGCACCCTGTGGAGGTGTCTGATGGGCAGACTGGGGTCTTGGAGGAGTGCGTGCTGGTTAGCATCCATTATGTGGGGGTGGGGCTTGGCCCTGCAGTAGCTCCTGACCTTCCTGGGATGAGCCCACACCGTCCTGCCCGCCTTGCCCGAGCAGTCTCCCTGTTCCAGCTGACTTTCCTGTCAGGACGACTGTGGTTTCAAATGTTGCTCAACATCTTTAGCTGTAGAGATAGAAATTATAGAAGTGAATGTCTCGGCAGGGTTTTGGAACCCGTTCACCTTTGCAGCACCCCTGAGGAGGCCATGTTCTCTCCCCACCTGTCCCCCACCCTCAGGATTTCTGTAGCCCCCGTATTTCGAGCTAGTTGGGGCCGGAGTAGAGGGACGGGCAGAGTCTGGGAGAAGGTCAGATGAAGGAGGTGTCCAGTGGCTCACGTGGACCTGCTTTCCGTGTTGCCCCTGCTACTGGAAAGTCCGCTCAGCACGCTGAAGTGTAATTGTGAAGCAAAAATTAAATTCTCAGCCTTCAGCCAACTGATGGACCCCCTCTCTCAGCCTCAGGCGTTGCTCAGTCAACCTGAAAATGTAGTTCAGGCCATGGTTAGGGAGGTCAGGCAGGCCTCATTGGGCCCCTCCCTTTGGAACTGAGGCCCAGCTGACCAGCATTCACATTAAACAGACTCTGACAAAGGCGGACTTTTTATAGCAGCGACAGCACACCACATTCCAGCCTGACTCTAGTGTAGCATCACATGACAGGTGGCAGGCCCTGAAAGAAATCCGAGTATTTTACCCCAAAATAGATTTCTTTGACATTTTTCAGAATGGCTCTACAGGACTGTGTCTTGTGGGGAAAGTCTGCACCCTGTAGAGAATCTCCTCCCTTCCCAGGTCTTTTCCCTGGTGCAGGAGGGAATTAACTCGGAGTCTGGCACCTTGTGAGGTCTGCTGCCTGCTGCCTGGAGGCCTCATCTGCTTGATAAAGCCTTGGTCTCCACAGCCCCTTATCTTAAGCCGAGGCATTCCTTTCTATTGATTCCAAGTCTTTAGATAATAACTCTTTCAAACAAACAACTGCCAGTCAGAAGATCTTCGCATCTGCTTTGACCTGGAAGCCCGCCCGTCCCCCGCTTAGAGCCGTCCCATGTTTCCTGACTGAAGCAGCATCTTGCATGTAGGGTTGATGTCTTCTGTCTCCCCAAGATGCATAAACCCGGCCCTTGGGCACATGCTCTCAGGGCTTCCTGGGGCGGCATCACGGGCTGTTAGTCACTCTTATCTGGCTCAGAATAAACCTCTTCAAATATTTTACAGAGCTTAAGTCTTTTTGCCAACATAATATACCCACAAGTAAGTGCCCATGTTGTAAGTGCACAGCCAGCAGGTTTTTCAAACTGACCATTCCCACGGCCCTTTTCTCAGGCAAGAACAAAACACTCCCGCACCCAGGGTCCTCCCAGGCCCCTGACAGCAGCCAGCTCTCCACCGGCCCTGCATCTTCCTTAAGTTCCCCCACACAGGGAGGTCCTTCCTGTGCCTGGCTTCTTCCACTTGCTGTTGCGCTTGTGGATTTAGCCATTTTTTTTTTTTTGAGACGGAGTCTCGCTCTGTCGCCCAGGCTGGAGTGCAGTGGTGCGATCTCAGCTCACTGCAGCCTCCGCCTCCCAGGTTCCAGCGATTCTCCTGCCTCAGCCTCCCGGGTAGCTGGGATTACAGGCGCCCGCCACCACGCCCGGCTAATATTTGTATTTTTTAGTAGAGACGGGGTTTCACCATGTTGGTCAGGCTGGTCTCCAACCCCTGGCCTCAGGCGATCCGCCCGCCTCGGCCTCCCGAAGTGCTGGGATGAGAGGTGTGAGCCACCGCGTCTGGCCGTATTCAGCCCTATTTTTGTGCATTGCTGTAAACTGTTGACTTTTATGATTCTATTGCGAGAGCGTGCTGCGACTCTAGAGTTGACTCTCCTGTCGGCGGCAGCGGGTAGTTCACTGTCGTTGGCTTTGAGGGTGAAACTGCTGTAGGGATTCCATGTCTTTGGGAGCATGGTACGGCCCTAAGCAGGATGGTCATCGGGAGCACATCCCTTCAGCCTTGCAAGTTCCTGCAGGGGCTGCAGGGTCACCAGCCTCCGGCATCTGTGGCTCCTGGGCTCCCTGACCTCAGCAGCATGTGGCCGTGTCTGCTCTCCTGCTCACCTTGTGGGGGGCATGCAGAGACCCTGCCACATGCTTTTTACTTGCGCTTCCCGGGTGACTAATAAGGCATGCACCTTTTGTCAGGGTGGGAGCTCCTCTGCCTGCTCACTGCTTGCGGGAGGGGTCTGCAGACTTTTTCTCTAGAAGAGTTGCAGGCCACGCAGCCCCCGTGGCAACTGCTCAGCCTGGCTGTTGTGCTGCAGAAGCAGCCAAAGGCACGTGGGTCAGTGAGCGTGGCTGTGTCCCAGTGAAACAATTTTCAGAAACAGGCTGCGCAGGATTGGCAGGACTTGGCCTGCCCCTGGTCTGTTGGGTCCTCTGTCTTTTTCTCACTGATTATAGGAGTCCTTTCGATATGAGTCCCTTATGGGGTGTGGGTATCACAGATCCTTTTTGCTGCTCTGTGGGTCTCCTTTTCACCTTTTGAGGAACAGATTTTTGTTTCTGTTTTTTTGTCAAGATGGAGTCTAGCTCTGTCGCCCAGGCTGGAGTGCAGTGGCGCCATCTTGGCTGACTGCAACCTCTGCCTCCCAGGCTCAAGTGATTCTCCTGCCTCAGCCTCCCAGGTAGCTGGGATTACAGGCACCTGCCATGGCGCCCAGCTAATTTTTGTAGTTTTAGTAGAGACAGTGTTTCACCATCTTGCCCAGGCTGGTCTCGAACTCCTGACCTTGTGATCCACCCACGTTGGCCTCCCAAAGTGCTGGGATTACAGGCATGAGCCACAGCCCCTGGCCAGAACAGATGTTTTTAATTTTGCTATAGTTGAGCTTATCCATTTTTCTTTTATGTTTATTAGCACTTTTGTGTCCCACTTGATAAATCTTTGCTTACTACACAGTCACTATGATGTTTACTTACGCTTTCTTTTAAAAGTGTTATTGTTTTACCTTCATATTCAGATCTGTGATCGCTACATAATTTTTTTATTTTGTTTTGCTTTGTTTTGAGACAGTCTTGCTGTGTCACCCAGGCTGCAGTGCAGTGGCACAATCTTGGGTCACTGCAGTCTCTGCCTCCCAGATTCAAGTGATTCTCTTGCCTTAGCCTCCTGATTAGCTGGGACTACTGGCGCCCGCCACCATGCCTGGCTAATTTTTTTGTATTTTTGGTAGAGATAGGGTTTCGCCATATTGGCCAGGTTGACCTCAAACTGCCAGCCTCAAGTGATCTGCCCTCCTTGGCCTCCCAAAATGCTGGGATTACAGGCGAGTATTTTCTCACTAGTTTTTAAGCAGTATAACTCTTGGTGGGGCATGCCTGTAATTCCAGCCCTTTGGGGGGCCGAGGCAGGTGGATCATGAGGTCAGGAGTTTGAGACCAGCCTGGCCAACTTGGTAAAACCCCGTCTCTACTAAAAATACAAAAACTAGCTGGGCCTGGTGGCACGCACCTGTAATCCCAGCTACTCGGGAGGCTGAGGCAGGAGAATCGCTTGAACCCAGAGAGGCAGAGTTTGCAGTGAGCCGAGATGGCACCACTGCATTTCAGCCTGGGCGACAGAGCGAGACTCTATCTCAAAAATGAAAACAAAAGTATAACTCTTTTGGGGGACACACATTTTGAACAGCTCATTTGTGGCTGGATCTAACTGCTAGCTAGCGCGGCTCATCTTCTGTGGACCGTGGAAAGCACGTTGGGCGTCTGGGTGCAGACCGTCCGGTTCATACAGTCTCTGCCGTGTGGCCTGGGCCTCTTGGTCCTCAGTGTGACGTTGCATGTGGGCCTTCTCTGTTCCCGTCAAGCATCAGGAAGAAGTGTCCTGAGGAGAGGAGGAGATGGGGTGGTGAGGGGTGCTGAGCCCCTCGTCATTGCTTCTGAGGGAGTAGCAGGTTTCACCATGGTGGCCCGGGGAGGCGGGGAAGGGCCTGCTGGCCGATGGACCAGTGTGTGTTTTCCTCTCGCTGATTCTCCTCCCCTCAGAGGGCAGTTTTCTGTCACAGTATCTGAGCCTGTTGGTAAAACAAGCACCCAATCATAAGAAACAGAAAATAAGGTCTTCCTGTAACGTAGCCTAATTTTAGATGGCGGCTGTGGAAGGGAGCCACACCTCCCTGTCACTGTGTAGGAAGGAAGGGGCTGATGCAGACAGGCAGCGCCAAGTTGAAGACCCTATTGGGAGGCCATGAAGTGGCACAGGCCTCCTGGTTTTGGTTTCTTTTTTTTTTTTTTTTGAGACGGAATCTGGCTCTGTCGCCCAGGCTGGAGTGCAGTGGCGCGATCTCGGCTCACTGCCATCTCCGCCTCCCAGGTTCACACCATTCTCCTGTCTCAGCCTCCCGAGTAGCTGGGACTACAGGCACCCGCCACCACCCCCAGGTAATTTTTTGTATTTTTAGTAGAGACAGGGTTTCACCGTGTTAGCCAGGATGGTCTCGATCTCCTGATCTGCCCGCCTCGGCCTCCCAAAGTGCTGGGATTACAGGTGTGAGCCACCGCCCCCGGCCCTGGTTTAAGCCTGCGTGTTTGAGGCCATGGGATTCATCCTGAGCTGTCCCAGCAGTGGTGCGTGGTGGGCATTTCTGCGGGTGTGAAATTGGAACTCCTCACGGCTGAGCACAGTGGGTCCGGGCGGAGCAGAGCGCGCAGTCCTCCTGACTCTGCCCCCTTCTCCTGGGCACGAGGAGTCGCCTCACTCTGCCAGGCCCCTTTCTTTCCTGGAGTGGAGCAGCGCCCGGCCTGCACAGAAGGTTCTCCCGAGGACTCCTGCGGGAGGGTGGGAGTGGGGACCGCTAGGGCACAGGAGCCGCTGAAGGCACAGCTGTTTCACATGGCCCCCGGCCGCTGTGTTTTCCAGAACTTGGCTGTGGAGGAGTCACTCCCTTCAGAAGGAGGGTGGGTATTTGGAAGCCCCTTCCTTTCCCTGTCGCAGCTGCTGTTACGTTTTAGCTTAAAGTAGAGTTTGAACGGCGCCCCCCAGTGGTTGTGTGAGGACAGCAGCTCCCTAGGGAAGAGGCAGAGGTGCTTGAACCCAGATGCTGCTTTGTGTCGACCTGTGCTGTCCCGTGTGGGGCTGCGGAACTTGTGACGTGGGAGGGCACACGAGTGAGGAGTGTGAAGAGGCTGGAGGTTTTGAAATGACTGCGTGTTGGGCTAAGTAAAATTTTTTGTTAAAATATATTCGGGCCAGGCGTGGTGGCTCACGCCTGTAATCCCAACACTTTGGGAGGCCGAGGTGGGTGGATCACGAGGTCAGGAGATCGAGACCATCCTGGCTAACACGGTGAAACCCCGTCTCTACTAAAAATACAAAAAATTAGCCGGGCGTGGTGGCGGGCGCCTGTAGTCCCAGCTACTCGGGAGGCGGAGGCAGGAGAATGACGTGAACCCGGGAGGCGGAGCTGGCAGTGAGCCGATATTGCACGACTGCACTCCAGCCTGGGCGATAGAGCCAGACTCTGTCTCAAAAAAAAAGGTAAAGAAACAGATTTATTTATTTTTTTTTTTTTTTTGAGACAGGGCCTTGCTCTGTCACCCAGGCTGGAGTGTAGTGGCATCATCACTGCTCACTGCAGCCTTGGCCTCCCAGGCTCAAGCGATCTTCCCACTTCAGCCTCCCGAGTACCTGGGACTACAGTCGTGCGCATCCATGCCTGGGTGATTTAAAAATGTTTTTTGCAGTTGAGGCCTCCCCCTGTTGCCCAGGCTGGTCTCAAACTCCTGAGCTCAAGCCATCTGCTCGCCTTGGCCTCCCAAAGTGCTGGGATTACATGTGTGAGCCACCGCATCCAGCCCACTTTTTTTTTTTTTTTAAACGTGGCTCCCAGGACTCACGTGTGGCTTGTAGCACACCCTATGGAAAGCACCTTCCACACTCTCAGCTCGGGGGTGCCCTGGCCTTCAGTCAGAAGACATCATTTCTGTTTTACTTTGCAGGCCTCACCCCCATGGCCAGTCTGTCATCACGGTGATCGGGGGCGAGGAGCACTTTGAGGACTACGGTGAAGGCAGTGAGGCGGAGCTGTCCCCAGAGACCCTATGCAACGGGCAGCTGGGCTGCAGTGACCCCGCTTTCCTCACGCCCAGGTAATGACGCCTTGTTCCAGCACACCCTCCTCCCTCTTCTTCCCGTGGTTAGTAGTGGGAAGTTTCCCTTTTTGGTTCGTGCATTGGTAAGAGAGAACTTGCTTTCCTTGACGTCATGTGATTAAGTAAACCATATTCAAAAATTTTAAATTTATACCTGGATTTATGAAAGTTGGGAGAAGTCCCTCTTCTCCAGCCACATCCCCAGATCACTCTACATTTCTGAGGCTTCAGCAAAATCCTGTGGCACAGAGCTGTGTTTGCACACTTGGCTTGCGGGCTCCTTTGCTGTGGGCCGTGGATCACATGGTGGTCTGTGCAGGCTTTTGAGGGAGGCCTCATGATCATAAGTGAGTCTTCAGATTCATTTCCTTATAAATATCTGACATCCCCAAACTGGAAAGCTGTGACTCTGAATAAATAGAAGCACAACACGCAGTGGGCGAGATGCCCACTCACAAATGTCCAGAGTCACTCTAGGGAGTCCAGAGTCCTCTTGGCTTGGATCCGAACATGGGGGTCTGGGTACGTACTTCTGAGGGCTAGGGGCTCCCACGTGGGAGTCAGTCCCTCTAGGACGCTCCTGACTTCAGGGAGACCCTGGGCTGGCCGATGGGGTTGTTACTTCAATCCCTTCTCCCCTTTGCTACTAGGTTGTCGTCCATCTTTGCCAGCAGTCAAGGCCGAGCCTCTTTAAGCAGCCACAAGAGTCTTCCCTTGCCTGCTGCCCGCCCGCTGTTACTGAGGCCCAGGGAACCTGGGTGGAGGGCGGTGCAGGAGGGGCTGAGCAGCTCGTCTGCCCATAGGGTCCCCCTCCTTTTGTTTCCCATGTGCCCTCCTTGAAGCCGCCCGTCAGCCCTGGGTGTGGGGACCCTGCACGGATATCCTGTGTGCTCTGGTCCCGGCGAGCGTCCTGGGAGAGCTGTGCATGAGTGAGGCATCACAGACGGTCCTCAGAGGCAGTGTGCTTGTCTTAGGCACTTTCCTCTCCCAGCGCGTGGTGGTGTCAAGACAAGGGCCAGAGGACTGGGGCGTTTCTAAACTTGGGTCTCTGTGCTTGGTAATCACCTCTTCCTACGTGTTTAGTTTGTCCCTGTCTCCTGTTCAGTGTTTTCATTGTTACCTGTTTGAAGTGTAACGTCTATGCTACATTGTATGTTTCACTTTTCACCTTTCTTTACTTGAGCTTCCAAATGGTTTCCCACAGCATGTGGGTCCCAGCGCCCGCGATGAGGCTGCCTTTGCTCCTTTGCCTTCGCGTCGCAGACGCAGCACCCCTGCCAGTGGCCCAGAAGCCCTTGGAGGTGAAGTCACAGGGAGGTTAGCTAGCACCACCACAAAATCTAACACTGAGTTTCGACAGGTCGGTCTTTTTGGGGGTTTTTTGAGACAGGATCTCACTTTATTGCCCAGGCTGGAGTGGTGCAATCATGGCTCACTGCAGCCTCCACCTCCCTCAGCTTCCTGAGCAGCTGGGACTACAGGTATGAGCTACTACGCCGGGCTAATTTTGTATTTTTTGTAGAGACGGGTTCACCATGTTGCCCAGGCTGGTCTCAAACGCCTGAGCTCAAGCGATCCACCCAAAGTGCTGGAATTAGAAGCAGGAGCCACCATGCCCGGCTTTAACGCACATCTTAAAAAATCACAAAACTATTGTAGATTTATCATTCATGCATAGTTTTTGCTAGAGGTGGTTTTTGGAGTA
Source organism: Homo sapiens (assembly GCF_000001405.40). NCBI lineage: Eukaryota > Metazoa > Chordata > Mammalia > Primates > Hominidae > Homo > Homo sapiens. The sequence goes on from NT_187610.1 coordinate 91,013, forward strand.
ATCATAAATATAGTACAGTAAGTACAAGTTTACCCGGAGACATGGTTCGCTATCACATTGATGTGTTTTTGGCAAAAGAGAAAGCAGTATGGTTTTTTACCTTCTTGTTAAAGAAGGGCTTTTGCTTTGCAAGGAGGCTCTCAGGCTGCCCCTGCTTTCTTCTGGGCACCCGACCCAGAGGAGCAGGTGTGTGCAGGGCCCCCTGAGGCTCGAGCTGGTGCCTGTCCTGGGCTCCTGGAGGCAGCTGAGGGATGTGGGCTCACTGCGGTCTAAAGGCAAGAGCCAGAACATTGCACAGCTCATTCTCTCTCCACGTGCTTTTGTTCCACACCATGTCCTGTCCTGTTCCCCTCGGCCCCTCGTGCGGAGTCACAGATGACCACACGGGTCCTCATCCTCTCCTGAACGGATGCTTCTGTCTCTCTAGCACTGACCCTCTTGCCGCAAAGCTGCACAGCATCCTCACTGATGAGGCGTTTGAGTTTTACTGTAGCCAGTGCCACAAACAAATCAACCGCCTTGAGGATCTTTCTGCCCGCCTGAGTGATCTTGAAATGAATAGGTAACTGACCAGCGCCTGGCCTTGCTGTCTGTTCCCAGGGTGTGGGGGACTCCGGATACCCACAGCCCCCTTGAGGGCCTGCCCCGAGGCGACCAGGAGCCTCTCAGGCAGCGGGACTCTCCCTGGGGCCCCGCCTCCCACCCTGCACGCTGTGGGGCCACCAGGGCCCTGCCTCCTCCCCTGCATGCGCAGCCCAGGCCAGTGCTTGTCTTGGTGGGAGGAAGTGATCGGTCTTTGCAAGCTGTGCTGTCTGTCCTGTGTGTGAAAGAGGATACTTTCTGCATTTTACTAAAAGATTTCTTTCATTGAGCTCATGAGACAGAATTGGGAAAGTTAAAGATTTAGTCTTTAAGAACAGATATGTAAACAGCTTTCAGGATTGTCAGTTTAAATGGAGTTTTGAATACTCACAGTGAGCGTGTGAGGGAGCTCACTGTGTCTCAGCAGGGGAGCTCTTGTGGCTGGCCCTCATGTCTAACTCCCAGTTACAGAAGACGGTTTTGAGTGCTTTGCACATATTGACGTGCCCGTTGGGCATCGTGTTGATTTCGCTTGCGGTGAAGCCCCTGGGTGGGCAGCTCTCCAGAAGGGTCTGGTGAAGAAACGGGCCACTTTGGAGCTTTCCACAGCAGCCCTAGCCTAGCAGAAGAGGTGAGTGAGCATACAGGCTCATGCTGGCAATCTGGGACGGCTTCCTGAAGAACGGGACCTGGCCTGTGGGGAGGGTTTGTAAAGGTGGCAGAAAGGTGAGTTATCCTGATGGTTCTAGCATGTTTAGAGGTATCTGTGAAACTGCTTACCTGTCTTGAGCCTGCCCTGTCCCTGCCCCAGGGGGCTTCTGCCGAGGCACATCCTTGCTGGCGGGCGCTCACTGCCCACGGCCTTATTGAGGCTTCTGTCCTGCCTCTAGTTCCATTTCCAGGGCACTTAACTCTTCTTATGTTCTGTGAAATGCTGTGAAGCACAGGGCCCCCAGCCAGTGCCCATTCCGGTGGAGAGGATGGGGGTGGGGCCCGGCACCGATGGCCATTCTGGAGCATCGGGGGTCTTGGCAGCACTGGTGAGAAAGCAGAAGTGCTCTTTGAAGAGGGTCCTCCCGGGAGACCCGAGGCCGCCCAGAGCCCTCCCGGGAGACCCGAGGCCGCCCAGGGCCCTCCCCGGGAGACCCGAGGCCGCCCAGGGCCCTCCCCGGGAGACCCGAGGCCGCCCAGGGCCCTCCCGGGAGACCCGAGGCCGCCCAGGGCCCTTCCCGGGGAGACCCGAGGCCGCCCAGGGCCCTTCCCGGGGAGACCCGAGGCCGCCCAGGGCCCTTCCCGGGGAGACCCGAGGCCGCCCAGGGCCCTTCCCGGGGAGACCCGAGGCCGCCCAGGGCCCTTCCCGGGAGACCCGAGGCCGCCCAGAGCCCTCCCCGGGAGACCCGAGGCCGCCCAGGGCCCTTCCCGGGGAGACCCGAGGCCGCCCAGGGCCCTTCCCGGGGAGACCCGAGGCCGCCCAGGGCCCTTCCCGGGGAGACCCGAGGCCGCCCAGGGCCCTTCCCGGGGAGACCCGAGGCCGCCCAGGGCCCTTCCCGGGGAGACCCGAGGCCGCCCAGGGCCCTTCCCGGGGAGACCCGAGGCCGCCCAGGGCCCTTCCCGGGAGACCCGAGGCCGCCCAGGGCCCTTCCCGGGGAGACCCGAGGCCGCCCAGGGCCCTTCCCGGGGAGACCCGAGGCCGCCCAGGGCCCTTCCCGGGGAGACCCGAGGCCGCCCAGGGCCCTTCCCGGGGAGACCCGAGGCCGCCCAGGGCCCTTCCCGGGGAGACCCGAGGCCGCCCAGGGCCCTTCCCGGGAGACCCGAGGCCGCCCAGGGCCCTCCCCGGGAGACCCGAGGCCGCCCAGGGCCCTCCCCGGGAGACCCGAGGCCGCCCAGGGCCCTCCCCGGGAGACCCGAGGCCGCCCAGGGCCCTTCCCGGGAGACCCGAGGCCGCCCAGGGCCCTTCCCGGGAGACCCGAGGCCGCCCAGAGCCCTCCCGGGAGACCCGAGGCCGCCCAGAGCCCTCCCGGGAGACCCGAGGCCGCCCAGAGCCCTCCCCGGGAGACCCGAGGCCGCCCAGGGCCCTCCCCGGGAGACCCGAGGCCGCCCAGGGCCCTTCCCGGGGAGACCCGAGGCCGCCCAGGGCCCTTCCCGGGAGACCCGAGGCCGCCCAGGGCCCTTCCGGGAGACCCGAGGCCGCCCAGGGCCCTTCCCGGGGAGACCCGAGGCCGCCCAGGGCCCTTCCCGGGGAGACCCGAGGCCGCCCAGAGCCCTCCCGGGAGACCCGAGGCCGCCCAGAGCCCTCCCCGGGAGACCCGAGGCCGCCCAGAGCCCTCCCCGGGAGACCCGAGGCCGCCCAGGGCCCTTCCCGGGGAGACCCGAGGCCGCCCAGGGCCCTTCCCGGGGAGACCCGAGGCCGCCCAGGGCCCTCCCGGGAGACCCGAGGCCGCCCAGAGCCCTCCCGGGAGACCCGAGGCCGCCCAGAGCCCTTCCCGGGAGACCCGAGGCCGCCCGTCCAGGGCCCTTCCCGGGAGACCCGAGGCCGCCCGTCCAGGGCCCTTCCCGGGAGACCCGAGGCCGTCCGTCCAGGGCCCTTCCCGGGAGACCCGAGGCCGTCCGTCCAGGGCCCTCCCGGGAGACCCGAGGCCGTCCGTCCAGGGCCCTCCCGGGAGACCCGAGGCCGTCCGTCCAGGGCCCTCCCGGGAGACCCGAGGCCGTCCGTCCAGGGCCCTCCCGGGAGACCCGAGGCCGTCCGTCCAGGGCCCTCCCGGGAGACCCGAGGCCGTCCGTCCAGGGCCCTCCCGGGAGACCCGAGGCCGTCCGTCCAGGGCCCTCCCGGGAGACCCGAGGCCGTCCGTCCAGGGCCCTCCCGGGAGACCCGAGGCCGTCCGTCCAGGGCCCTCCCGGGAGACCCGAGGCCGTCCGTCCAGGGCCCTCCCGGGAGACCCGAGGCCGTCCGTCCAGGGCCCTCCCGGGAGACCCGAGGCCGTCCGTCCAGGGCCCTCCCGGGAGACCCGAGGCCGTCCAGAATCTTGGATTCCAAAGATCCGCTAACCTCTGTTTTAGGGGAAATCAGTTTCTGCCTGCGTGTGTGTTCAGCTAGGGGTTCAAGGCCCGGCGACGATGGCTCAGCCTGCTTGGGGAGGGGCCATTTGTTCTTCCCACGCAGAGACTTGCCCTCCCACTCACCGATAAGTTGAGTGCAAGCATGTCATCTCCGTACATGAAAGTAAGCCTGAAGACTCAGGTCTCGTCTCTCATTTTCTGAAGATTTTTGACATAGAACTGATTTTTTCCCACATTGAGAACTAGCTCCAAGATGGCCATGGTCACCTCTGCTGGGCTTTGTGGGGGCAGAGAAGGGACTAGGATGTAGCTAAGTACAACTAGCAAGTCCTGTGGAGCCTCACGTCCAGGTTCTGCTACCCCTTTTCCTAAGACTCTATGAAGCGGGCCAGGCGCAGTGACTCACGCCTGTAATCTCAGCATTTTGGGAGACTGAGGAGGCAGGCAGATCACTTGAGGCCAGGAGTTTGAGACCAGCCTGGCCAACATGGCGAAACCCTGTCTCTACTAAAAACATAAAAATTAGCCAGGCATGGTGGCACATGCCTGTAGTTCCAGCTACTTGGGAGGCTGAGATGGGAGGTTCACTTGAACCCAGGAGGTGGAGGCTGTGGTGAGCCAACATCCTGCCACTGCACTCCAGCCTGGGCAACAGAGCCAAACTCTGACTCCAAAAAAAAAAAAAGACTCTACCAAGTGGTTAATATGCTATTCAATTCAACACAATCAGGACACACAACTGCCAGTCAGAACATCCTCCCCATAACCCTCAGTGGAGGAGATCTGAATCTTGCGTTTTAGTTTCCATGGACTTGCCTGAAAGTAAGCTTATTTGGTCATGCTTTGTGGGTGGCAACAGGTGACTTAGTCCAGACCACCTCTGGAAGCTTTGATGTCAGATACGATGTCCAGTCGCCTCAGAACAGGCCAATAGCTGTTGCATTTTCCAGGTACCCTGCAGCCTCTAAATACATTTCATTTTGTAGGAACTAAGAAGTGTGCCTTACCTGGAGGTATATTTTCTTTTTTCTTTTTTTTGAGACAGAGTCTCGCTTTGTGACCCAGGCCGGAGTGCAGTGGCGCGATCTCGGCTCACTGCAACCTCTGCCTCCCGGGTTCACTCCATTCTCCTGCCTCAGCCTCCCGAGTAGCTGGGACTACAGGCGCCCATCACCACACCTGGCTAACTTTTGTATTTTTAGTAGACACGGGGTTTCACCATGTCTCAATCTCCGGACCTCGTGATCCGCCCGCCTTGACCCCCCAAAGTGCTGGGATTACAGGCTGAGCCACTGCACCCAGCCTGCCTGGAGGTATATTATCTTTTTCTTTTTTGAGACAGAGTCTCGATCTGTCACCCAGGCTGGAGTGCGGTGGTGCGATCTCGGCTCACTGCAACCTCTGCCTCCCGGGTTCACTCCATTCTCCTGCCTCAGCCTCTCGAGTAGCTGGGACTACAGGCGCCCGCCATAACGCCCGGCTAATTTTTTGTATTTTTGGTAGAGACAGGGTTTCACCATGTTAGCCAGGATGGTCTCAATCTCCTGACCTCGTGATCCGCCCGCCTCGGCCTCCCAAAGTGCTGGGATTACAGGTGTGAGCCACCGCACCTGGCCACCTGGAGGTGTATTTTCAATTATAAATCCTGTTGCTGGGCTGCCAGTCCAGGCCCTGAAAGGTCAGTAGGTAAACTGAACGATGAGTCTGTCCTGTCCTATTAGTTCTAGGGAGTCTCAACAATAATAAGATAAAATTAAATTTGTATTAAGGCTGGGTGCGGTGGCTCATGCCCGTAATCCCAGCACTTTGCGAGGCTGAGGTGGGCAGATCACGAGGTCAGGAGATCGAGACCATCCTGGCTAACACGGTGAAACCCCATCTCTACTAAAAATATAAAAAATTAGCCAGGCGTGGTGGCGGGCGCCTGTAGTCCCAGCTACTCGGGAGGCTGAGGCCGGAGAATGGCGTGAACCCGGGAGGTGGAACTTGCAGTGAGCCGAGATCATGCCACTGCACTCCAGCCTGGGTGACACAGTGAGACTCCATCTTAAAAAAAAAAACCTGTATTAAAATATACATTATTAGTCTCCAATCGAGAAAGGAGAGCCACACAGTAATTTGAACAGGGACAGTTTAATACTACAAAGAATGGGCTGAGTGTGGGCTGAAATCGCAGTGCTTTGGGAGGCTGAGGTGGGAGGATCACATGAGCCGGGGAGGTTGAGGCTGCAGAGGTGGGAGGATCACATGAGCCAGGGAGGTCGAGGTTGCAGAGGTGGGAGGATCACATGAGCCGGGGAGGTCGAGGCTGCTGAGGTGGGAGGATCACATGAGCCGGGGAGGTCGAGGCTGCAGAGGTGGGAGGATCACATGAGCCGGGGAGGTCGAGGCTGCTGAGGTGGGAGGATCACATGAGCCGGGGAGGTCGAGGCTGCAGAGGTGGGAGGATGAGGTGGGAGGATCACATGAACCGGGGAGGTTGAGGCTGCAGAGGTGGGAGGATCACATGAGCCAGGGAGGTTGAGGTTGCAGAGGTGGGAGGATCACATGAGCCGGGGAGGTCGAGGCTGCTGAGGTGGGAGGATCACATGAGCCAGGGAGGTCGAGGCTGCAGAGGTGGGAGGATCACATGAGCCGGGGAGGTCGAGGCTGCAGAGGTGGGAGGATCACATGAGCCGGGGAGGTCGAGGCTGCAGAGGTGGGAGGATCACATGAGCCGGGGAGGTCGAGGCTGCTGAGGTGGGAGGATCACATGAGCCGGGGAGGTCGAGGCTGCAGAGGTGGGAGGATCACATGAGCCGGGGAGGTCGAGGCTGCTGAGGTGGGAGGATCACATGAGCCTGGGAGGTCGAGGCTGCTGAGGTCGGTAGATCACATGAGCCGGGGAGGTCGGGGCTGCAGAGGTGGGAGGATCACATGAGCCGGGAGGTCGAGGCCTGCTGAGGTGGGAGGTTCACTTGAGCCGGGGAGGTCGAAGCTGCGGAGGTGGGAGGATCACTTGAGCCGGGGAGGTCGAGGCTGCAGAGGTGGGAGGATCACATGAGCCGGGGAGGTCGAGGCTGCAGAGGTGGGAGGATCACATGAGCCGGGGAGGTCGAGGCTGCTGAGGTGGGAGGATCACATGAGCCGGGGAGGTCGAGGCTGCAGAGGTGGGAGGATCACATGAGCCTGGGAGGTCGAGGCTGCTGAGGTGGGAGGATCACATGAGCCTGGGAGGTCGAGGCTGCTGAGGTCGGAAGATCACATGAGCCGGGGAGGTCGAGGCTGCAGCGAGCTGTGGTTGCACCACTGCACTTCAGCCTGGGCCACAGAGTCATACCTTGCCTCTAAGAAAAGATAATGCAAACAAACAAACAAAAAATTTAAAAAATCATTAGGGAAAGGAAAAGAATGTCACAGGCTATGGGAGTAATGAGGCACTGGTTGGGATGAGTAAAAAGAACTCTGCAGAGTGTAGGGACAGCAGGCACAGGAGCAGCCGCCACCCAGGGCCGGGGCAGAGCCCCCCAGCTACAGTCACTGCCACCCAGGGCTGAGGTCTGCACCAGCTGCAAACGGGGTGGTGGGGACACCACCGTGCTGTCAGGGCTTGTGGGGAACCTGCCTCCTGGCTGCCAGGAAAGCTATTCTGTTGCAGGACACTTGGCAGAGGCACCCCTAGAGAACAGCTACCCGAATGGGGTCAGGGAAGCCCCTGGCTCTGGCTACAGTGGGCAGGATGCTCCCTGGAGTAGGTACTGGGGAGACTGCAGGTGTCGGAGGGCCCTGCAGAGAGTGGTCAGAACCAGGAGGCAAACCTCTTCCTGCTGTGTTCACTCCTCGGCTCCCTCTGCTGATGACACGCAGCATTGTGGAGGAAGAGCCTGCTAAGGGCCCAGCTCTGTTTCTACAGGGCAAGTAAAAAGGATGGACTTAGAGCTGAGGGGCTCTACGTTAATACCTGGCACAGCAGCTGATTCTCCTCCAGTAGATTTCTTTTTTTCTTTGAGACAGAGTTTCACTCTTCGTTGCCCAGGCTGGAGTGCAGTGGCGTGATCTCGGCTGACTGCAACCTCTGCCTCCCGGGTTCAAGCGAGTCTCCTGTCCCAGCCTCCCGAGTAGCTGGGATTACAGGCATGCGCCACCATTCCCGGTTATTTTTGTATTTTTAGTAGAGACAGGGTGTCTCCACGTTGGCCAGGCTGGTCTCGAACTCCCGACCTCTGGAGATCCACCTGCCTCAGCCTCCCAAAGTGCTCAGATTGTAGGCATGAGCCACCACGCCCGGCCCCTCCAGTAGACTTTTCTGCCTGACCCTGGAAAGAAAATCAGAGGTGTTTTTGAGACAGGTAAGCTGAAGAGAGACGTGGCTTTGTGAGTTCCAGGACCGTGATGGTTCCCAGGCCCCAGGGGTGAGGGTGTCTTCCTGCAGGCTGAGGCTAATAGTTCAGCAGCTAGACTGTAAAATACAACTTTGGACCTCAGAAATGAGGGAGAAGGTAAGTTTGGCCCATGTGCCACTGCAGATGGTTAAATCAGACAGCTGATGTATAATTGGCTATATTTACTGCCCTGAAATGGCAACGGGAAAGGTTTCCAAACTGATGCCTAGGCAGGCGTTCTGAGCATGATGCATCAGTGCCTGAGTCGAAGCCAGCGGCAAACTCTCCTGTCACAGCGGGGCCTGGGTCACTTTTCACTTGGGGGCCTCCGAAGGCCAAGCGTTTGGGGGTAATTTGGCTTCAGAAGCATTGGGACAGTGCAGCCAGCGGGTGGGACCAGGTGTGGCGCTGGCCTCTCAGTCGTGGTCTGGGGTGGCTGCATCTGGAAGCCTCTTTGGGGGCTGGAGTAACGAGACGTATGCGGCCTCACCCCAGCACTGCCGTGTCCTTGCTGTTTTGCTGAGTGAGCATTTGTGCATGGACTTGTCTGGGGGGCCCTGCATGCCGGGAGCATTGCTGAAAGGCCGCCCACCTCGTATCTCCACAGCCTGAGTTTCCTGCTTCCTCCTGCTCCTCTCTGTCTGTTCTAACAATTTTCCTGTTTATTTTGTTTTCTGCACAGTCCGACAAAGCGGCTCTCCAGCAAGAAGGTGGCAAGGTAGGTGGGTCTCTGGTTCCTGCTGAAAAACGTTCTGAAGTGGATAATTAATCATAGTTTTTTAAAAAACATTTTAAAATGTTCTTTTCCAAGGTATTTTTTAAACTCTTGCAAGTTACTTTACATGGTTTGGGGCTGAAGGTATCCTGAGGGAGTGTTGGGAAAGGGGTTTCCAGGGCTGTGAATTTGGACCTGGATTTGTGACCAGGGAGGGTACGTGTCAGAGCTTTTGGTGCTGGGCCTCTTGTATGTTCACTAAGGTCTGGAAGGGGCCGCCATCCCCAGATGTCTGCTCTATGTTAGCTCTGAGGTAGCGAGACCCAGTGAGGAGCCTGGCTTCTCAGAGCTGGGTCTGGGCAGCTCCCCAAGGTGAGTCGAAGGTGAGGGATGGGTCTGACTCCAATTCCTAAAGACCATTTCTTCATTTTCCAGCTTCGTATAGATCTGTTGGCTTCCTGCTGTGAAAGATGGCAACATACACTTTTATCTTCCTCCCCTGCCAGTTCTTACCGAAATAAACATGCAGGGTTAAGGCCCTTCCCAGGGAGCCACTCAGTGTGGCTGCCGGGTGGCCTCTGCTGCCGTCAGAGTCTGCCTTCGTGTCTTTATCTGCTTTGCCTTCCTAGTCCCCGTCCTGCTTCGTGGCCCGGCATCTGGCAGGGCTGGGAGACGCCTCTCCAGCTTCCTCTGGAGCATCCCCTCTGGAGCCTCCTCTCTGCCCTGTTGTGCCGGGCGTTCTCCAGGCCTCGTGGCTGTGGTCCTGGACAGGTCTCCCCACACTGGTGGGTTCCTTTGTTTCGGGGGTTGGATCCTCTAGCTCCCTGGCCCCGTCTTCCTTCTCATTTGTTTTCTCTGGTTTTTGTCCAGCGTATCTTCCTGTAGCTTCTTGAGAAAAGAGGTGCTCAGGAGATAAACTTGAGCTTGGGTTGGTTTGTACTGTGAGAGTGGGATCATTTTCCTGTAAGATTTTTGACGGCATTGCTTATCTTCTAGAGCTAAAGTTGTTACCATGAAGTTTAACCTTTCTGACTCGGTTTCTTTGGGACCAGCCTGAGCAACTTAGTGAAACCCTGTCTCTACAAAAAAAAAAAAAAAAAATTAAAAATTAAAAATTAAAAAAAAAAAAGGAAAATAGGCAAGGTCTAGCTGCGTTGCCCAGGCTGTAGTGCAGTGAGTGGCAATTCATAGGTGCAAGCATAGCTCACAACAGCCCCAGACTCCCTGGGCTTAAGTAATCTTTCCACCTCAGCCTCCCAAAATTCTCGGATTACAGAGGTAAGCCACCACACCCAGCCAAGAACAGAAACCTTTTGTTTTCCATTTTCTTTTATTTTGAGACATTGTCTTGCTCTGTCACCTGGGCTGAAGTACCGTGGTGCAATCACAGCTCACTGCAGCCTGGACCTCTCAGGCTCACTCCATCCTCCCACCTCCTCCTCCTGAGGACCTGGGACTACAGGTGCGCATTGCCAATGCCTGGCTAGTCTTTTAATTTTTAATAGAGATGGAGTTTCACTACGTTGCCCAGACTGATCTTGAGCTCCTGGGCTGAAGGGATCCTCCCACCTTGGCCTCCCAAAGTACTGGGATCACAGGCATGAGCCGTCACACCTGGCCATGGATGAAAACTTTTTTCTTTTTGTTTCTCTTCTCTTTTCTTGGCTTTCTTTTCTTTTTGAGACAGTCTTGCTCTGTCTTGCTCTGTGAAGTGACATGATCACAGCTCTCAATAGTTTTCACTTCCCAGACCTCCCAAGCTCAAATGATCCTCCCTCTTCAGCCTCCCGAGCAGCTGAGACCACAGGCGCATGCCACCATACCCAGATGATTTTTTAATTTTTTGTAGAGACAGGCCCAGACTGGTCTTGAACTCCTGGGCTCTAGCAGTCCTCCCACCTCGGTCTCCCAGAATGTTGGAATTACAGGCAGGAGCCACCGCGTCCCACTTGTTTTCCATTTTCTGTCATTTTAGGGGCTAGGGGCTAGGGGCTAGGGGCTAGGGGCTAGAGGAAGCAGAGGTGAACGTCATCATGCATCTTTTTCTAACTGTCGTCTTGCTCACCCCTTTCAGAAAAGCATTGAGCTGGCCGGGCGTAAGTAGGTCACGCCTGTAATCCCAGCACTTTGGGAGGCTGAGGTGGGTGGATCACCTGAGGTTGGGAGTTCAAGACCAGCCTGGCCAAAATGGAGAAACCCCATCTCTACTAAAAAAATACAAGATTAGCCAGGTGTGTTAGCAGGTGCCTGTAATCCCAGCTACTCAGGAGACTGAGGCAGGAGAATCACCTGAACCCTGGAGGCGGAGCTTGGAGTGAGCCGAGATTGTGCCATTGTACTCCAGCCTGGGCAACAAGAGCGAGACTCCATCTCAAAAAAAGAAAGAAAAAGAGAAGCATTGAGCTCTTAGGAACGTGACGTGCATCCCCAGCTACACTTCTGTTACCACTTCAGCATCACCTTCCTCCCCACTTCATCAAGTCTTTTACTCCAGACAGGCTGCAGCTGGTGACATGAAAGACCGGTCAAGGCCAGCTAAGGCATCTGCTTGAGGCCTCCCGTGCCTAGGATGGGGCGCAGCCTGCAGTTGGCTGTCACAGCCTTGTGTCAGAAACACCCTTTAAAATTTAATGTTTCCTTCACGGGTACCCTTTGGCATAAAAAAAGCCCAATCTGAGCCGGACGCAGTGGCTCACGCCTGTAATCCCAGCACATTGGGAAGCCAAGGTGGGTGGATCACGAGGTCAGGAGTTCAAGAACAGCCTGACCAACATGGTGAAACCCCGTCTCTACTAAAAATACAAAAATTAGTTAGGCATGGTGGCACACATGCCTGTAATCCCAGCTACTCAGGAGCCTGAGGTAGGAGAACTGCTTGAACCCAGAAGGCAGAGGTTACAGTGAGCCCAGATCACGCCACTGCACTCTAGCCTGGGCGACAGAGCAAGACTGTCTCAAAAAAAAAAAAAAAAAAAAAGCTCCATCTGCAGTTATCTGTCGTTAGAGTTTACAAAACAGAGACCTCTTCTGCAGTGTGTCTATCCACATGTAAATATATGTACACAAGATTTAATCTGTTGTTTTGCCCCAAATCTGCCACAAGAGGCTAAGGAAGAGCAAAATAAACGTCGCGATTCGCTTCTCACAGTTCTCAGCCCTTCGCGCTGAACTATTGCTGAGATGGTGGGTTTTGCCAGCAGCCATTGTAGCCCCCGGGCCTGGCTGCATTGCTCACCTCCCTCAGCCTTGTTCTGTCCCTGTCCATGAGATGGAAGTGGCTTTCTCCAGTCAGCTGTGTGTGCAGAGACCGGGGGCTCCGGGCAGAGCCGAGTCCATCAGGACTGGAGGAAGTGCTCACAGCAGGCAGGCTCCCTGGGCCCTGGGTGGGAGGCCTCAGGGATCCCCGTACCTCCTTGCTCACCAGCCAGGCTCGACCTACTGCCCTGTGGGGCAGGTCAGGCTTTTTCCACAGCTCCCTCTCTGGGAGGAGGGTCCTCCCAAGTGAGGGTGTGGTGTAGCTGGAGAATCCCTCTTTCTAGGGGATTTAAATAAGCAGCCCCAGCCGGACGCGGTGGTTCACGCCTGTACTCCCAGCACTTTGGGGGGCCGAGGCGCACAGATCACGAGGTCAGGAGTTTGAGACCAGCCTGGCCAACATAGTGAAACCCCATCTCTACTAAAAAAAACAATACAAAAAGTTAGCTGGGCATGGTGGCAGGTGCCTGTAATCCCAGCTACCTGGGAGGCTGAGGCAGGAGAATGGCTTGAACCCGGAAGGCAGAGGTTGCAGTGAGCTGAGATTGCACCACTGCACTCCAGCCCAGGTGACAGTGCAAGACTCTGTCGCAAAAAAAAAAAAAAAAAAAAAAAAAAAAATTAAATAAGTAAATAAATAAGCAGCCGCATGACCCATGCTGAGGACCCTCTGCCTCACGTTGGTGGCCACGTGTGGTGGCTGCACGCTGGGTGCCTGGGGATGGCTGTGTCCCCGAGTCAGCCCCAGAAGTGCCTACGCCTCTAGGACAGCTCAGAAGTGCTGACAGGTCGTGGCCTCTCAGGATGGGCTCTGGGTTGCAGCTTCATGCCTGGAGTGGCTCATGTTTGGGGGCAAGGTCATGGGCGTTTAAGAGCAGCGACTGGCCAAGAACATGATCTGTATCAGCAGCAGCTTTTGAGAATCTGATGAAATCCCCAGAGCCCCAGAAGGGCACCGGTGTGTTCCAGCTGGTGCACGTTCACAGGGCTTGTCTCCTCAGAGCGTTTATGGGGAAAAAGATGGAAATGTTCAAGCCCAGTCCGTACTGAGAAGCAAATCGAACTTCATACACTTGGTAGACATTTTCAGTGGAAAAATATTAACATTTTATGGAATTCTTACTCTGCTATGTCCCTAGCCAAGCTGTTTGTATGCATGACCTTGGTTAAACCTCAGTTGCCTCTAGACCCCCATTTCATAGGCAAGGAAGCTGGGAGAGGGTCCCCCCATTTCATAGGCAAGGAAACTCGGAGAGGGTCCCCCCCTTTCATAGGCAAGGAAGCTCGGAGAGGGTCTCCCATTTCATAGGCAAGGAAGCTGGGAGAGGGTCCCCCCATTTCATAGGCAAGGAAGCTCGGAGAGGATCCCCCCATTTCATAGGCAAGGAAGCTGGGAGAGGGTCCCCCCATTTCATAGGCAAGGAAGCTCGGAGAGGGTCCCCCATTTCACAGGCAAGGAAGCTGGGAGAGGGTCCCCCATTTCATAGGCAAGGAAGCTGGGAGAGGGTCCCCCCATTTCACAGGCAAGGAAGCTGGGAGAGGGTCCCCCCATTTCACAGACAAGTTCAGAGAGGCTCCCCCCATTTCATAGGCAGGGAAGCTGGGAGAGGGTCCCCCCATTTCACAGACAAGTTCGGAGAAGGTCCCCCATTTCATAGGCAAGGAAGCTGGGAGAGGGTCCCCCCATTTCACAGGCAAGGAAGTTCAGAGAGGGTCCCCCCATTTCACAGACAAGGAAGTTCGGAGAGGATCCCCCATTTCATAGGCAAGGAAGCTGGGAGATGGTCCCCCCATTTCATAGGCAAGGAGTCTGGGAGAGTGTCCCCCCATTTCATAGGCAAGGAGGCTGGGAGAGGGTCCCCCCATTTCATAGGCAAGGAGGCTGGGAGAGGGTCCCCCCATTTCATAGGCAAGGAAGCTCGGAGAGGGCCAGTGCTTTTTAACGGTCACGCAGTTCTGAGCATCAGGCTGTCAGCCTGGAGCCTGGCTTGGTACTGAGGTTCCCAGGATGTATAAAGAACTGAACATGCACCTTTGCTGTTGGCTCTTCTCTGTGAGTGCTCTGAGAGTTTTCTGTACTCCCGGCAAGTTTGGGTTGGTACAGATTCACCGCAGCGAATCTGACCACGTGGTGACCACAAGCACGCGCTTACTGCGCGCCTAAGTTCACACTCCCTGGAGAAGCTCCTGCCCCAAGGCCGCAGCCTATGGGCCTTTGCGTCTACTCAGGACCATGAGGCTGTGTCCCCGAGCCTGGCCCGGGTAGTAACTGGCATGGCCTGCGGTGCTGGGGGCGTGTCCACAGGAGCTGGTGCCACAGAGGACACGTGTGTCTGCTGTCTTCCTGGACTCGGTCGGACCAGTTTCCCAGTGTGTCCGTGAGGGTGACACTGAGTGAGACTTCTGGGATCCACACCTTTCCTGGGACCCTCACTCTTCCTGCCACAGAAAGCACCTGTGAAAGTCTGAGATCAAGAATGTGCACAGGGGAGGTGTCTGCAGGTCAAGGTCCTGAGCTGATGTCTTACAGGCCTCTGGTAGAGACGAGATTGTTCGTGTCTCTGCGAAGAAGGGCATGTTTTATTGCAGCCAAGTACAAAGTCCTCTCTGCCACTCGCTGGCTGGGACTGAGGTCGTGTTCTGTCAGGTTCCAAAGAGCGCCAGGAAGACTCTGAGACCACAGAGCACGGCCTGCTTTCTCCCAGCCCCTGGTAAAGATGTCCAGCCTGGGACCTCCCCCTGTATATAGTGCTTTAAGTGGGAGAAGACCACCACCCAGATCAGGGGAGGACCTGTCCCCTGCAATGCTGCTGCCTGCTTTTCAGATTGACTTGGGAGTGCTTGTGCTGACGGAGCATGTCCTGTGGTTTTTCCCTTTCTTCCCTCTGTTGTTGTGCCTTTTCTGTAGGTACCTGCACCAGTCAGGGGCCCTGACCATGGAGGCCCTGGAGGACCCTTCCCCCGAGCTCATGGAGGGCCCAGAGGAGGACATTGCTGACAAGGTAGGCCCTGGAGGGCTGGGTAGGTGGCAAGTAGGGGATTTAGAACACAGCCACGCCTAAGGGCCGCTGCAGACACCCCGGGAGGTGGGGACAGCACAGCCGGAGGTGACCCCATGTCCTCCAGGGCTCCCCAGACTGTCCATCCAGCCCCGATGCTCTTTGGCAGGTTTCCCCAAGGGGTCTCGTGGCCATGTGAGAAAAAGGAGTCTTCCTGTTGTGCACGAAGGGCCAGCTGGGAGGAGTGGACTGGGCAGTGAGTGAGCACCCTCGGGTATCCCACCCCCACTGTGTCTGAGTCGGGCTAGGGGACACCCAGACATTCAGTCCACCAGGCCCATGGAGACGCGACCTGGGGCACCCATGATTTGGGAGAAAAGGGCTGGCCCTGCAGTTACTGCAGAGCCAACAGCCTGAGGAACGGGCTTCTCCTGGGGCCTTGAATGGAATGGGTGACAGCAGCCAGGGCAAGGCAGCCTTGCCGTGGTCAAGACCCGCTTTTCAGCCAGATGTGGTGGCTCACGCCTGGAATCCCAGCACATTAGGAGGCCTAGGCGGGCAGATCACTTGAGGTCAGGAGTTTGAGATCAGCCTGGCCAACATAGTGAAAACC
This sequence comes from Homo sapiens, assembly GCF_000001405.40. Taxonomy (NCBI): domain Eukaryota; kingdom Metazoa; phylum Chordata; class Mammalia; order Primates; family Hominidae; genus Homo; species Homo sapiens. The sequence goes on from NT_187610.1 coordinate 106,595, forward strand.
CGTCTCTACTAAAAATACAAAAGTTAGCCACGCATGGTGGCGGGCAACTGTAATCCCAGCTATTTGGGAGGCTGAGGCAGGAGAATCACTTGAACCTGGGAGGTGGAGGTTGCAGTGAGCCGAGATTGCACGACTGCACTCCAGCCTGGGCGACAGAGGGAGACTCCGTCTCACCTTCTGCACCCCCTCACCTTCTGTGACCCCTTCACTTACTCCTGTACCCCCTCACCTCCTCCTGTACCCCCCTCACCTCTTCCTGTACCACCTCCTCCTGTACCCCCTCACCTCCTCTTGCACCCCCCTTGCCTCCTGTACCCCCTCACCTCCTTGTGCACCCCCTCACCTCCTGTACCCCCCTCACCTCCTCCTGTACCCGCCTCACCTCCTCCTGCACTCCCATCTCCTCCTGTACCCCCTCACCTCCTTGTGCACCCCCTCACCTCCTGTACCCCCTCACCTCCTCCTGTACCCCCTCACCTCCTCCTGTACCCCCCCTCACCTCCTCCTGTACCCCCTCACCTCCTCCTGTACCCCCTCACCTCCTTGTGCACCCCTCACCTCCTGTACCCCCTCACCTCCTCCTGTACCCCCCTCACCTCCTCCTGTACCCCCTCACCTCCTCCTGCACTCCCATCTCCTCCTGTACCCCCTTACCTCCTTGTGCACCCCTCACCTCCTGTACCCCCTCACCTCCTCCTGTACCCCCCTCACCTCTTCCTGTACCCTTCACTTCCTCCTGTACCCCCTCACCTCCTCCTGCACCCCCCTTACCTCCTGTACCCCCTCACCTCCTCCTGTACCGCCTCACCTCCTCCTATACCCCCTCACCTCCTCCTATACCCCCTCACCTCTTCCTGCACCCTCCTCACCTCCTCCTGCACCCCCATCTCCTCCTGTACCCCCCTCACCTCCTGTACCCCCTCATCTCCTGTACCCCCTTACCTCCTCCTGCACCCCTCACCTCCTGTACCCCCTCACCTCCTCCTGCTCCCCCACCTCCTCCTATACCCCCATCTCCTCCTGTACTCTCTCACCTCCTCCTGTACCTCCTCACCTCCTCCTGTACTTCACCTCCTCTTGCATCCCCACCACCTCCTCCCTACAACTTCTCTAGCATCTCAAGTCTGCTGACCCAGGCCAAGTCCTCCTCTGCTCCCTTCACTCCTTCTCCTACCTCCGCAGGTGTCTGATTCTCATCTTGGTGTGAACTCTCTGAGGGAGGGACCGAGACATGGATCTGTCTGTCCCTTGCATCCATGGGCACCTGGGCTGCCTCTGTGAGCTGCATCTGGCTGAGCAGAGACCCAACTGTGTGTTGGGGGGCTGAGTCTTGCTGCCCACCAGCCAGCCAGTCCAAAGGCACCCCTGGGCCCCGAGCCCTCAGAGCTGCGGCACTGTGTGCATTTGTGGGTCGAATGACAGTGCTCCCCAAGACCCCGGCCCCATTAGGAGCTGCACCTTTGTGGGTTTATGGGACAAGTTGGATCCAACACCAGCCTAGCTAGGTGGATCTGATTCTGTGCTGAGAAAATCCCCAGGCGGCCTCCCAGGTTGTTCCCTTGGGGGTGCAGGCCCTTCTGCTTCTGGCTGCCTGACCCTGAATCCTGGTCTCATTGCCAAGGTTGTCTTCCTGGAAAGGCGTGTGCTGGAGCTGGAAAAGGACACGGCAGCCACCGGTGAGCAACACAGCCGCCTGAGGCAGGAGAACCTGCAGCTGGTGCACAGGTGAGCCTGGGCCAGGAGACCCGGGCCTCTGCGTGGCGCCTCCTGTGCCCGCCTGTCAGCCCCCATTTACTTCTCTTTACCTCACACAGCAGGGGCTTGGCCACCCGTCCATCCCCGTTGGAAGCCGGCTGAGGGGGTGGTGCCAGGTGGTCATCTGAGCCTACCCAATGGGCTGCAGGCAGGCGACCTGAGGCTCTGACTGGTGCTCTCATGGAACCCTAGACACACAGAGGGCCAGAGGAGGGCACTGCCTCCCTCTCGGGAGCGCTGAGACCTGACCCACACAGAGGAGGAACTGACTGCGAACCCACGCAGTGCTCAGCCTCACCAGCAGGCCTGGAGGTGCAGCTCTCCCACCACTCTGGTCCATACGGGGTTTGCCCGTCCTGGAAGAATGCAGGTTAGAGAAGTCGCTCAGCAGCAGAAAGCGAAATGAGCAGTGACTGCTGAGTACGCGACAGGACGCGCAGTCTCATCGCTGTGGGCAGGAGTGCTGGGGAGGAAGCGAAGTGTGACGCCGTGTTTGCAGAGAAAGAGTGGGAGCTGCTTGCCTCACTCTGGTTTGCAGACTTTTCTTAGAATACCGTGTAATTCTCGGTGTTTTTCACACGAGGCACGCCATGTTGTCTCATAGCCGATTTGCAGGACTGTTTCCGGTGCAAAGTAAGATGAGCTTGTCCCAGGAGTCAGCTACCCAGGCTATGACACCTGTAGCTGGGCACCGGCAGCCTCTTGTGGGCAGAGGAGACAGCCAGGAGGCCTATGAGGCACCTGTGGGATCTGCAGAAGAGGTTCTTCCTGTGAGCTTCTGTCCCTGCCCAGCTGCGCGGGCACATCCCGGCTCTTCCACATATTCTCAGCTCGGCCAAGGGCCCTGTCCCTTGAAGCTTCAGTGTCTTCATCACCACTGAGCAGGTAGATTCAGGGCTCTGAGCAGCCTGCACACACGTGTGTTGGCAGCAGGGCATTTGTGGTCAGCATCCCCAAAGCCCCCAAGCCCTCACCCTCACGGTACTAACATTTGTGACCATCTGCCCTGTGAGCGCTGAGAATTGGAATGCCTCATGGGATTGTGGGCATAACTTGCACATCATTTTAATTCTAACAAAGCAAAGCATGTGCTCTTGTGGAGTGAAGACCCTGGGCTTGGCGGCTGCCCGTTCTCCAGGATTCTCAGCAGAAGAGGGCCTGCTACCAGCCCCTGCTGCAGAGTGGAGAGGGGCCAGGCATGCTGGTGAAGGGGCTGGACTCCCGTAGTGCGCTACACATAAGCAGTGCCACCAAAGACCACTGTCTCCTCCTTGTCAAGGAGAATCCGGGGGGCTGCCAGATGCACTTGTTTTGTTTTGTTTTTTGAGAGACAGGGCCTCGCTCTGTTGCTCAGGCTGAGTGCTGACTACAGCCTCCACCTCCCAGGCTCAAGCGACCCGCCTCCCTCAGCCTTCGATGTAGCTGGGACTACAGGTGTGCACCACCACACCCAGCTTTTTTTTTTTTTTTTTTGAGACGGGGTCTCTCTCTGTCTCCAGGCTGGAGTGCAGTGGCGCAATCTTGGCTCACCGCAACCTCCGCATCCCAGGTTCAAGCGATTCTTCTGCCTCAGCCTCCTGAGTAGCTGGGACTTGCAGGCATGCACCACCACGCTGGGCTAATTTTTGTATTTTTAGTAGAGACGGGGTTTCACCATATTGACCAGGCTGGTCTTGAACTCCTGACCTTGTGATCTGCCTGCCTCAGCCTCCCAAAATGCTGGGATTACAGGCGTGAGCCATCGTGCCCGGCCTAGTTTTTAATTTTTTTATAGAGATGAGGTCTTGCCATGTTGCCCATGCTGGTCTCAAACGCCTGGCCTCAAGCGATCCTCCCACCTTGGCCCCCCAAAGTGCTGAAATCAGAGGCGTGAGCCACCATGTCCAGCCTAGATGCCTTTGTCGAGTTGACTGTGGAGGTTTCATTTGAGTCTGGAGTATGTTCATCTGTTTTCCGTGTGTGTGGTGTGAAGTCCACACTGCCGCCTGGCACCACCCACTGACCGTCTGCAGTGCAGCCCCGGCCACATTCAGTTCCTGTGGCTGTTCCCTGTGGTGCTCACCTCCAACGTCCTAAACAACACGTTTCCCGTTTTCAGTATCATCTGCCCGTTCTGAGCCATTTGCTCTCTAGCCCTACCATACAGCTGCCATCCTAAGAGTACGTTTCCCGTTTTCAGTATCATCTGCCCGTTCTGAGCCATTTGCTCTCTAGCCCTACCATACAGCTGCCATCCTAAGAGTACGTTTCCCGTTTTCAGTATCATCTGCCCGTTCTGAGCCATTTGCTCTCTAGCTGTGCCGTACAGCTGCCATCCTAGGAATTCCGAGTGCTTTCTCCTGTGTTTGATTCCTTATTTTCTGGGTCCCACGTTTTCTTCTGTTTTGCCAACTCATTTTCTGAGTATGTCACTGATAGTTGCCTGGAAAAGGGAGCACAGGAGCCAGATGCTCTGAGAACTGCTTGTGTGGAAGTGCTTTTTCCTCCCACCCTGCTCCAGTCCATAGTGTAGCTGGGCATAAAATTCTAGGTCAGAGATCGAATTCCCTGAGAATGTGAAGACCTCTGACCCGGTGCTGTGACTGAGGAACCTCTGGTGCCGCAGGGCCTTGATGTTCTCTGTAACTTCTGTTTCCCACCCTACATACTTGGAGGAGGATCTTGTATTATTTGCCGTGCTGTGCACCTGGTTTTCAGCCTTTATTTCGTTTTGTTTTGTTTTGTTTTGTTTTTTGAGACAGAGCCTTGCTGTGTCACCCAGGCTGGAGTGCAATGGCACAATCTCCGCTCATGGCAACCTCCGCCTCCCGGGTTCAAGTGATTCTCCTGCCTCAGCCTCCCAAGTAGCTGGGATTACAGGCATGCGCCACTGTGCCCGGCTGATTTTTGTATTTTTAGTAGAGACGGGGTTTCACCATGTTGGCCAGGCCGGTGTTGAACTCCTGACCTCAAGTGATCCATCTGCCTCGGCCTCCCAAAGTGCTGGGATTACAGGCATGAGCCACCGCGCCCGGCCTAGGTTTTCAGCCTTTAAATCTGGAAAACGCGTCCTTTCGCTGTGGGAAGACTTCTGAAGTTATTTCACCATGCGGCCTCTCCCTCTCATCTGTCTGAACATCTGCTAGTCACACAGTGGGCCTTCTGGATGTTTCCTCTCCTTTTTTAAACTTTCCTCGTCTCTAATTTTATCTTTCTGTTCTTTTTTTCTATGTAATATTCTCAGTTTTCTCCTTCAACTCTTGATCAGATCTTTTTTTTTTTTTTGAGACAGAGTCTCACTCTGTTGCCCAGGCTGTAGTGCAGTGGTGTGATCTCTGCTCAGTGCAACCTCTGCCTCCTGGGTTCAAATGATTCTCGTGCTTCAGCCTCCCGAGTAGCTGGGACTACAGGCACCTGCCACCACATCCGGCTAATTTTTGTATTTTTAGTAGATTCAGGGTTTCACCATATTGGTCAGGCTGGTCTCGAACTCCTGATCTCAGGTGATCTGCCCGCCTCTGCCTCCCAGAGTGCTGGGATTACAGGCGTGAGCCCGGCATCTCAATCGGACTTTTAAATTGTCCTTCCCACGCTTTCAGTTCCTGGGAGCTGTTCCTTGTTGTTTGTCTCTTCTGCAGCAGGCTGCCCTGACGCTGCAGCTTTGGCTCTCTGCTCGCGGAGGCCGCTGGCTCGGGGACCTTTCCCTGCTGTCTGCTGCATCATGTGTCTCCCTGGGTCCTCACTTGGTGTTTGCTTTGGCCACTTCCTGTTGAAAGCTTTCCTGTTGTGTCTGGTGATCTTTGGCCATCTGTTCACTCCTGCGTGTGAGGCACCACAAGGATGAGAGGCTCTGTGCGAGGCAGGGCCAGAGGGCGTGGGCTGTGCTGTGTCAGTGGGCAGGGCCTGTGCCCTTCTCTTTGGGATGGTTCAGTCCTGTCTCCTGCGGATGGTTGTGAAGATCTCAGGAAGGCCAGGGTCTCCCTGCCCTGTGGGAATATTCCCTTTCCCCTGTGGTCTAGCTGACACCTGCCCTGCCTCTGCTCTGAGGTGACCTGGATGGGACTGGTCTCTATACCCACTTCCCCAGCCTGGAGGGGACTGGGAGCAGAGTGGGCCCCCCCCCCACTTGTGGCCCCTCACAGCCTCTGGGGCCCGGATGTGCCCAGCTGCCAGAGCCAGACTCGTCCTGGCTCCCATGTGGACCTGGCATCTCAGGAAGCCTCGTGAGCACCTTTGGGTGATGTGCCATGAACTGACTGTACTGCAGCTGAAGGCAGACTCCGCCAGCACACTCAGTTCTCTGGTGTTCAGCTGCCGCGGACCACGTGCTCATCAGACACTCACTTCCTGGAAATGCTGTGGCCCTTGGGCCCTGGCACCTCCACGCCCCGTCCCGAGGCCCCGTGCCTCTGGGCTCTGAGCGCACGCGTTGTGTGTAGTGGCCCTGGCACCTCCACGCCCCGTCCCGAGTCCCCGTGCCTCTGGGCTCTGAGCGCACGCGTTGTGTGTAGTGGCCCTGGCACCTCCACGCCCCGTCCCGAGGCCCCGTGCCTCTGGGCTCTGAGTGCACGCGTTGTGTGTAGTGGCTGCAGGTGGAGCAGCTGCATGAACACAGAGTGCACCAGGAGAAGTTACCTGGCGGGCTCAGGCCCTCTGAGTGCTGCGGTCCACAGGCCACAAGCGGGCAGTGCCTGTGGGTATCAGCTGGGCCTAGGTGCAGTGGACACTGCTCCGGCCACCCCAGGTGCCTTTAGTGTGGGAGGCGAGGCCATCTGGGGGTGTATTCGCTGCTTCAGAACTGCCTTGACCAGAGCTCGGGGATGCCCTTCTCGGTGCCCTACTCCCGAGTGGAGGCAGGTTCTCTGGAGGTCCTGAGGCAGCTTCTGGGCATGGGTGGAGCCACTGCACACCCTGCCTGGAGACAGCTCAGCTCCTCCCTTTGCCTTTCAAGAGCAAACGCCCTGGAGGAGCAGCTGAAGGAGCAGGAGCTGAGAGCCTGCGAGATGGTCCTGGAAGAGACCCGGCGTCAGAAGGAGCTCCTGTGCAAGATGGAGAGGGAGAAGAGCATTGAGATCGAGAACCTGCAGACCAGGTAGGCGGTTCCCAACAGCCCATCCACCCCAGAACCTGCAGGCCAGGTAGGAGACGGTCCCCAACAGCCCGCCAGCCCCAGAAACTGCAGGCCAGGTAGGCGAGGTTCCCGACAGCCCGCCAACCCCAGAACCTGCAGGCCAGGTAGGAGAAGTTCCCCGACAGCCCGCCAACCCCAGAACCTGCAGGCCAGGTAGGAGAAGTTCCCCGAAAGTCCGCCAACCCCAGAACCTGCCGGCCAGGTAGGAGAAGTTCCCCGACGGCCCGCCAACCCCAGAACCTGCAGGCCAGGTAGGAGAAGTTCCCCGACGGCCCGCCAACCCCAGAACCTGCAGGCCAGGTAGGAGAAGTTCCCCGACGGCCCGCCAACCCCAGAACCTGCAGGCCAGGTAGGAGAGGTTCCCGACGGCCCGCCCACCCCAGAAACTGCAGGCCAGGCAGGAGAGGTTCCCGACAGCCTGCCCACCCCAGAAACTGCAGGCCAGGTAGGAGAGGTTCTTGACAGCCCGCCCACCCCAGAAACTGCAGGCCAGGCAGGAGAGGTTCCTGACGGCCCGCCCACCCCAGAAACTGCAGGCCAGGTAGGAGAGGTTCCCGACAGCCCGCCCACCCCAGAAACTGCAGGCCAGGTAGGAGAGGTTCCCGACAGCCCGCCAACCCCAGAACCTGCAGGCCAGGTAGGAGAAGTTCCCCGACAGTCCGCCAACCCCAGAACCTGCCGGCTAGGTAGGAGAAGTTCCCCGACGGCCCGCCAACCCCAGAACCTGCAGGCCAGGTAGGAGAAGTTCCCCGACGGCCCGCCAACCCCAGAACCTGCAGGCCAGGTAGGAGAAGTTCCCCGACGGCCCGCCAACCCCAGAACCTGCAGGCCAGGTAGGAGAGGTTCCCGACGGCCCGCCCACCCCAGAAACTGCAGGCCAGGCAGGAGAGGTTCCCGACAGCCCGCCCACCCCAGAAACTGCAGGCCAGGTAGGAGAGGTTCTTGACAGCCCGCCCACCCCAGAAACTGCAGGCCAGGCAGGAGAGGTTCCTGACGGCCCGCCCACCCCAGAAACTGCAGGCCAGGTAGGAGAGGTTCCTGACGGCCCGCCAACCCCAGAACCTGCAGGCCAGGTAGGAGTAGTTCCCTGATGGCCCGCCCACCCCAGAACCTGCAGGCCAGGTAGGAGAAGTTCCCCGACGGCCCGCCCACCCCAGAACCTGCAGGCCAGGTAGGAGAGGTTCCTGACAGCCCACCCACCCCAGAAACTGCAGGCCAGGCAGGAGAGGTTCCGACAGCCCGCCCACCCCAGAACCGGCAGTGGCTAGGAATAACCTGAAAGTTTAGAAAAAGGGGCAAAGCTATGTGGAGAAGACTTTGAAACTCTCCCAAAGACCACAAGGGATCGGTTCAAAGACTGACCCTGACGCTGTGCGGGTGCTGGTTTCTGTAAATCCATGTCTAACCAACGTATCCAGTCTTTTTAAAATACCAATCTTTTTTTTTTGGGTGGGGGTGGGTGGGTTTGAGATGGAGTCTTGCTCTGTCGCCCAGGCTGGAGTGCAGTGGCGCGATCTCGGCTCACTGCAAGCTCTGCCTCCCGGGTTCACGCCATTCTCCCGCCTCAGCCTCCCGAGTAGCTGGGACTACAGGTGCCTGCCACCACGCCCGGCTAATTTTTTGTAATTTTAGTAGAGACGGGGTTTCACCGTGTTAGCCAGGATGGTCTTGATCTCCTGACCTCGTGATCCACCTGCCTCGGCCTCCCAAAGTGCTGGGGTTACAGGCATGAGCCATCGCGCCCGGCCTTTTTTTTTTTTTTTTTTTTTTGAGACCAAGTGTCACCCTGTCGCCCAGGCTAGAGTGCAGTGGGGCGATCTTGGCTCACCACAACCTCTGTCTCCTGCGTTCAAGCAATTCTGTTGCCTCAGCCTCCCTGGTAGCTGGGGCTAGAGGCTCACACCACTGCACCCAGCTATTTTTTGTATTTTTAGCAGAGACGGGTTTCACCATGTTGGCCAGGATAGTCTTGAACTCCTGACCTCAGGTAATCCACCCGCCTCAGCCTCCCAAAGTGCTGGGATTAGAGGTGTGAGCCACTGCACCCAGCCAAAAAATCATTATTTTAAATAGAGACAGGGGTTCTTGCTGTGTGGCCCAGGCTGGTCTTGAACTCCTGGGCTCAAGCATTCCTCCCACCTCGGCCTCCCAAAGCGCTGGGATTACCAGCGTGAGCCACTGTGCCCGCCGAGGCACAAGCATTAAAGCAGCATGGTGCCTCCCTTGGTTCTCCATCTGGGAGCTCATGCTGTGGATTCCTGGTGTGTGTTTAGAAATACATTTGCAAGGGACGGTTATTGATTTTCTGTAAAAGTTAAAAGCATCAGGTAACTTAAAATATCTATAATCAGAGGACTCTAGAGTTCTCTATCCTTCTTGTGTGTCTGGGTAGTGAGGGTGGAGGAAGTTGTTTTATACAGTTGTTTGTTTGTTTGTTTGTCTGTTTTGAGATGGGGTCTTGCTCTGTGCCCCTGGCTGGAGTGCAGTGGCCCTGTCATGGCTCACTGCAGCCTTGAACTCCCGGGCTCAAGCAATCCTCCTGCCTCAGCCCCTGAGTTGCTGGGGCTCCAAGTGTGCTCTATCATACCTGGCTAACTTTTCTTTTTTGGTAGAGACGAGGTCTTGCTGTGTTGCCCAGGCTGGTCTTGAGCTCTTAGCTTTAAGTGATTCTCCCACCTTGGCCTCTTTTTGTTGTTGTTGTTGGGATTTTTTGTTGTTGTTGTTTTTCCTCTCCATACTCTCAGCAGAAGCACCTCAGCCTCTTAAAGTGCTGGGATTATGGGCATGAGCCACCTCACGTGGCTTTTTTAAACTGAGCATGTACTACTTTTAGATTTTGAAATACAGTAGTTTTAAATATTCATAAGAGGATTTCAGGTTCTTTTGCTTGTGTTCCTTCCAGCTCTTAAAGCTAAGATACTTGCCTTATCTAAGAAGAGCTCCTAGGCATTTTCAAAACTGGTGGCAGGAAGGGGCCTGCACTGAGAGAGCTGTGCGGGACGCCCCACACAGGGAGGCCTCCGTGCCTGCCATTGCAGTGGGGCGCCGTCTTCTGGGGAGCAAGGTCAGGGCAGCCAGGACAGTGTTTTCCCCGGGCCTTGGCACAGTGCAGTTGAGTGGGCTCAAAATTAAAGTACGTTTCTCGTCTGTGAGCGCCAGGGAGCACCTCCCATGGGACCTTTCCGCTGGGGCTGAGGTTGGGGCACAGCCGTGTGGACATCCTGCCGCCTCTGTGTGCTCTGGTGTGGAGGGGCACAAGATAGGGGTCTCACGAGGCCCTCAGGGAGCAAGCAGGGCCCAGTGTCACTGCCTCTTGTGAGCAAGCCGCCTGCCCACCCTAAGCGCTTGGGGTCAGTGCCACCGTGTTCTGGGCCTCCTGCAGCTTCCTGGAGTGGCCACCAGGAACCTTGTGGTTCTCAGGGCTGCTCAGGCCGTCAGAGGCCCCTGCAGCCCCAGGTCAGCAACCTGCGGTCAGCCCAGCACGAGGCCTCTGGCATCTTGGGGACTTCCCCAGCCTGGCCTCTGCCCATCTGGTGTACAGGAAGACCCTGGTCAGTGCAAAGACACTGTCTCAGTCCGGGGTCCTCAGGAGCAGAGGATCTGGAGGCAGGACTCCCAGCACCTGCGTCGGAACCTCCTGGGAACAGCAGGGGCGGGTGGCTATGCAGTTGCAGTGCCTAGAAAACAGCTGGATTTCAGGAGTGGAGCCTCAGTAGAGATGAGAGTTAAAGCTGAAAGGGCATAGAGAAGATGGAGGAGTGGAGAGGCTGGAGCTTTGGACATCCTTGTTTAGGGACCGGGAAAGGAGAATATGTGTCATCAGCAGAATGGGGCTGTACGAAGGTCACAGGCAGAGATCTGAATCTCAGGACACAGGGCCCGGGAGAGGTTCTAGGAAAGGCCAGGTACCTCTGGGAGTGGGGCCCCCAGGGGCTTCCAGAAAGTATGGGAGCCCCTGGCAGGCTGCAGAGAGCTGGAGTGAAGGCTGATGGGGCCACAGTGGCATGTCCACAGAGACCGGGGCCTGATTTGCAGCTTGTGGCACCTGCCGAACCCCCGGCGTTGGGGTACATGGCCCATCATCAGGCACAGAGTGAACTGGGTGAACGTGGCCCTGGTGTGTGGTGCTTTCTAGCAGCACGTGAGCCAAGGAAGCCCAGGGAAGCCTTCGCTTGTGCCACGTAGCATAGCTCGTCCTTCCAGAAAATGTGAGTAGACTCCCCTGAGCCTGATAATGAAAGGAGAGAAGTCAGAAAGACTGACCCCAGCACTGGGCAGAGCCGAGTGTGTCTGATGGACAGCGAGAGGCTGGGGCAAGGAGGAAAGAAAGAGGGGTCAGGCCTCGGGAAGGCAGTGCTGCTGTGTGTGAAGCTGTGCGGCTCTTTATTTTCTTCTCTTTGCTTATCTGTAGTTTTGAAATTCAATAGAATTAAAACATAATTTGCTTTCATAATTATGAACAAAACATGCAAGTGTTACTTTGAAAGGAGAAAATAGCTGTGGGTAGAGCCGTCTGGACTCCAGGGTTAGAGGCGGAGAGTGGAACTTAGTATGCTCCACTCAGCAAAACAACAGGAAAGGCAGATGGCAAAGGTGCAGCCCAGAAAGCACAGCTGCACACACTCCTAACGCAAACAACACCCTGCGCCAGCAGCTACACCGGTGTTTGCATCTCGGAGCAGCCACATGGCTGACACGGACCGGGGTTCGCATCTCGGAGCAGCCACACGGGCGACACGCACCGGTGTTTGCATCTTGGAGCAGCCACACGGGCGACACGGACCGGTGTTTGCATCTCGGAGCAGCCACACGGCTGACACGGACCGGGGTTCGCATCTCGGAGCAGCCACACGGGCGACACACACCGGTGTTTGCATCTCGGAGCAGCCACACGGGCGACACGCACCGGTGTTTGCATCTCGGAGCAGCCACACGGCCGACACGTGTTGGGGTTTGCATCTCGGAACAGCCACACGGCCGACACGGACCGGGGTTTGCATCTTGGTACATGAAGGCTCAGAAGTGGGTAGCACCAGGAACCGTGGAAGTTGGATAAAGGCGAGGCTCACACAGGAGGGTCCCCACCCACATACAGCTGGATCACACCCATCCCCACCCTAGAGGAGGAATCGGGACTGCAGGGCGCCAGCACACACCAGAGTGGCACCACCGAGCGCCCGGGTCCTCCTGACGAACACCTGAGGCCAGGGGTCTGACCAGCCCCAGACAAGTCCTGGGAGCGTGCCTGTCCCGGGCACCCCGTGGCCTCCCCGGCAGTGCAGAGGCCGGCCGGTGCTCTTTGGAAGGGGTTGCATCTGCTTTGCCCCTGGTCTCAATCATCAGTTTGCAAAGCAAGAGCAAGTCCCCTCCTGGGTAGAGGACACCTTAAGCCCTTCCCGCCCAGCCCTGTGCTGCCCCTGGGTTTCCACTTACACCAAATTCTGGGTGTTGGTGCAGGTTGGATTGAATTAGAAGGGACGGCAGGGTAACGGGATGGTGAGGACAACTGGATTATGGAGAAGATCCAGGGTTCCTTGGAGAAATGGCCAGTTCTGAGGCTGGGACAGGCTAAGCCTGCAGCAATGTGTAGTATCTGAAAATGAGGTGCTTACACTAAAAACCCCCCATGAGCACAGACACTGAGGTTATCTCAGAGGGACATGGGCCAGCTGAAGGAGTTGCCAGACGCCAAAGCTGGAACAGTTTAACAAACTCATAGTGACAGCCTTGGATTACAATCCAAAGCATAAAGTGCGTGAGTCCATATGACACAGATAAATTATCATCAACGAACAGAAAAGAGGGCCGGGCGCGGTGGCTCACGCCTGTAACCCCAGCACTTTGGGAGGCCGAGGCAGGTGGATCATCTGAGGTCAGGAGTTCCAGACCAGCCTGGCCAACATGGTGAAACCCTGTCTCTACTGAAAATACAAAAATTAGCCAGGCGCGGTGGCGGCCGCCCGTAATCCCAGCTATTCGGGAGGCTGAGGCAGGAGAATCACTTGAACCTGGGAGGCAGAGGTTGCACTCCAGCTTGGGCGACAAGAGCAAAACTCCATCTCAAAAATAAAATAAAATAAATAAATAGAGAAGACACAAATCTTCCTCACAGAGGAATTCCACATAATGTCCGCAGACACTCCCTCCAGGAGGCGGGGGCTGGACCCAGTGAGCGGCTTCCAGAGGACAGAGCGGGCGGGAAAGCAGGGACCTGTCAGAGTGCACACCTGGCAGGCAGACCTTGGCCAGGTGATCAGAAAGCCGTGCGGACGTCAGGACCCTGATACGGTGTGACGGGAAGGGCCCCGCACCTCTGTGGGCATCTTCCCAAAACCCATCACCCAGTCTAATTGCGAGAAAACACCAGACGGACCCAACGTGGGGGACGCTCTACAGACACCATGACAGGCCTGCTCGACACCGTCAAGGTCGGAAAACACAGGAAAGTCTGGGAGACTCACAGACCAGGGGACGGAGGAGACAAAATGCAGTGTGGGCTGGGCACGGTGGCTCACACCTGTAATCCCAGCTCTTTGGGAGGCTGAGGCTGTTGGAACCTTTAAGCTCAGAGTTGGAGACCAGCTCAGGCAACACAGCAAGACCTTGTCTCTGCAAAAAATTTAAAAATTAGCCACGTGTGGTGGGGCACACGTGTACTCCCAGCTACTTGGGAGGCTGAGGCAGGAGGATCTCCTGAGCCCGGGAGGTCGGGGCTGCAGTGAGCTGAGATTCCACCAGTGCACTCTGGGTAACAGAGCGAGACCCTCTCTCAAAAAACCAAACAAATGCAGTGTGGTTGCTGGATGGGGTCCCAGAACAGAAAGGGCACGCATGGGAAAGCCACAGTCTTCAGTTAGTGTGGTCTGCAGAGTGTCCCAATGTGGCTCTGTGACTGTGACACATAACACCACAGTGAAGAACAGTGACCACACCAAGGGAGGCCAGTGCAGGGCCCACGGGGACTACACTGTGTCTGCTACTTCTTTTTTTCTTTTTGATACAGGATCTTGGCCGGGCGCGGTGGCTCACGCCTGTAATCCCAGCACTTTGGGAGGCCGAGGCAGGTGGATCACCAGGTCAGGAAATTGAGACCATCCTGGCTAACACAGTGAAACCCCGTCTCTACTAAAAATAGAAAAAATTAGCCGGGTGTGGTGGCAGTCGCCTGTAGTCCCAGCTACTCGGGAGGCTGAGGCAGGAGAATGGCGTGAACCCGGAAGGCGAAGCTTGCAGTGAGCCGAGATGGTGCCACTGCACTCCAGCCTGGGCAACAGAGTGAGACTGTCTCAAAATAAGTAAATAAATAGATACAGGATCTTGCTTTGTCACTAGGCTGGAGCGCAGTGGCGGGATCACAGCTCACTGCAGCCTTGTACTTCCAGGATCAAGTGATCCTCCTACCTCAGCCCCTCAAGTAGCTGGAGCTACAGGCATGTGCCACTATGCTCGGCTAATTTTTGTATTTTTTTATAGAGATGGGGGTCTCACTATATTGCCCAGGCTGGTCTCAAACTCCTGGGCCCAAGCAATCCTCCCGCATTGGCCTCCCAAAGTGTTGGGATTACAGGCGTAAGCCACTGTACTCGCCTTCAACTTTTCTGTAAACCTAAAATTATTCCAAAACCCAAAGTATATTAAAAAAACCACCGTGGATGGCCGGCGGGGTGGCTCGCGCCTGTAATCACAGCACTTTGGGAGGCTGAGGCAAGCGGATCATGAGGTCAGGAGTTCGAGACCAGCCTGGCCAACATGGCGAAACCCCCTCTCTACTGAAATTACAAAAATTAGCCGGGCGTGGTGGCAGGCGCCTGTAATCCCAGCTACTCAGGAGGCTGAGGCAGGAGAATCGCTTGAACCCCGGGAGATGGAGCTTGCAGTGAGCTGAGATCACACCACTGCACTCCAGCCTGGTGACAGAGTGCGACTCTGCCTCAAGAAAAAAATAAAAAAATAATACTAAAACCTTCAAGGATTACGGAAAAGCTGTGCCCTGGAGCACATGGGTGGGCACATAAGGATTGGCCCTGGTCGTTTGGGGGCGTCTGTTGGTCACAGGGCGGCCCCAGCAGGGTTTCCCTGAGACACAGGGCACACTGGCCCTGTAGAGGCGAGCTTCCTGGAGTGAGTTTCAGCTTTGTTCTTGTGTCCCAGGCTACAGCAACTGGACGAGGAGAACAGTGAACTCCGGTCCTGCACGCCCTGTCTGAAGGCCAACATTGAGCGTCTGGAGGAGGTGAGCTGCCAACAGCCTGGAGCTGTGGCCAGTGGGGCCAGCCCATGCCCTGCCTGTGGGGCAGCTGAGGTAGCCCTGAGCTCTGTGCTGAGCGGGATACTGTGCTGTGTGTGAGGGAACGGGGCCAGCTCAGGGCCCAGGCCGCTGGAAGACACTGGACCGTGCTCCACCCACAGGAGCAGGGCCCAGAGGCTCACTCCTAGATGGACCCAGGGCTCTGAATCTGGGAATTGTCCTCCAAGGGGAAGGCATCAGCCAGCCACTTATGCCCCAACCACTGCCGACGTGGAGGCAGAGGCTACACATGGGGCTCCCACACCCCAGCTTGTCACTGCGAGACCTCCCTGCCCCCACCTCACCAGGTGTGCTCTGGGAAGCTCCCAGGAAGGATATTCTCAGAGCACTTGGGCCCTGACTCCCATGAACCAGAGGAGCCCGGCTGGAGGTGCCCACAGCCACTGAGTCAGGTCCTGTCCACACAAAGGTCCTTCCTGCCCCTCGTGAGAAACGGCCCTCGTGGCCTGCGTGTGCGCCTCTACCCAGAAGCAGGTGGCCTTGACCTCCACTGAGAGGCAGGAAGGCTCAGACCCAGCCCTGTCGCGCTCCAAGCACGGGCGCCACCGCGTTGCTGTTGGGAGACTCAGAGATTGGAGGGACAGACGGCCGGGGCAAGCTGCATGCACAGGTAGGTGCGTGACCCGCATCCAGGGCAGGTGTCCACCCCTGCAGGAGAAGCAGAAGCTGTTGGATGAGATAGAGTCGCTGACGCTGCGGCTCAGTGAAGAGCAGGAGAACAAGAGGAGAATGGGGGACAGGCTGAGTCACGAGAGGCACCAGTTCCAGAGGGACAAGGAGGCCACCCAGGAGGTGAGCACCCACCCTGCCCCACGCCCAGTCCTGCGCCCAGCCTGCCCCACGGGGAGCCTTTGTTTCCTGAGACGCTAGCTCTTGGCTGTGCTGCTTTGGGCATAGCCGCTGGTGTGTGTCGTCCTCCCGAGAGACGGCCAGATCAACCCTGAGGTTCTACAGCCAAGTGATGGCTGACGGTGGCCCCTGGGAGCCCAGGCCCCCCGGCTCACTGCACGGTTGCCCTGCAGCTGATCGAGGACCTCCGAAAGCAGCTGGAGCACCTGCAGCTCCTCAAGCTGGAGGCCGAGCAGCGGCGGGGCCGCAGCAGCAGCATGGGCCTGCAGGAGTACCACAGCCGCGCCCGGGAGAGCGAGCTGGAGCAGGAGGTCCGCAGGCTGAAGCAGGTGGGCAGGCCTGGGCCTCCCTCCCTCACACTCCTGCAGAAGCTTCCACAAGACTGGTTGGGAAGGGGGGGCCGTGGAGGGTCAGCATCTGAGCTGGAGGCCTTTTTCCCCGGGCAGTCCTTGTCCCTGCTCAGCCACCAGCAGGGGCCACAGCCCAGTAGTGATGTTGCTGTGCCTTCAGGACAACCGCAACCTGAAGGAGCAGAACGAGGAGCTGAACGGGCAGATCATTACCCTCAGCATCCAGGGCGCCAAGAGCCTCTTCTCCACAGCCTTCTCTGAGTCCCTGGCTGCAGAGATCAGCTCCGTCTCCCGAGATGAGGTAACACATCCCGTGTCTGCACGGTGTGGCCTGGGGTCCACAGTCTGCACTGTCTGTGCGCTGTGGTTTATGCGCTGTGGCCTGTGGCCCATGCGCCTCAGCTCTGACCACCTGCTTGCCCTACAGCTCATGGAGGCGATTCAGAAGCAGGAGGAGATCAACTTCCGCCTGCAGGACTACATCGACAGGATCATCGTGGCCATCATGGAGACCAACCCGTCCATCCTGGAGGTCAAGTAGAGGCAGGAAGGTCCAGCCTGAGCTGGATTCGGGACTCCAACACCCTGGAGTGGTTCCGTCAGACCATGAGGAGCCAAGACCAGCAGGTCCCACAGCCGACAGTGCCCAGAGCATGCAGGGAACCCTCGTGCAGCTGAGCTGGGGCCGCCAAAGACCGGGGCTGCCAAAGGGGCAGAGGGTGGTGGAGAGGAGAGGGAGAAAGGGAAGTCCCAGGGCCCGGGGTCCACAGAGGATGAGGGTTGTGGCAGGGCCGTCCATCAGCGCTGACCTTCCGGGGGCCCAGAGCTTCCCAGCCCTGAGTCAAGCTGGCCATGAACGCGTACACTTCAGTTCAGCAGGATGGGCTGGAGAGCCTCTCTGTGCAGCGGTGTGGGGTGAGCCCTGCTGTGGCCTCCTTGTGGTGGTCCCTCTTCCCACGTGCAGCCCTGTTGGGAAGAAAGGAAGAAAACAGGTCCCTCCAGGGGTGCTGCTGCCTAAGCCACCCACATAAGTACGCTGGTGCCGTGTCACCCATGTTGAGCCGCTCCTGATGGCTGACGGGCTCCCAGACCCTCACCTCGGACATGGTGGTGGGGGAAGGACGGGTGGGCAAGGCTGGTGCGTTCCCCAGCTCTCCCTACGCTGCTCGGGCCATTGCCCAGCCAGATGTGGTCACCTCAGTCCAGCTCTGGGGCCTCCAGGCCATGTGGCTGTTCCCACGGCCCAGTCCTCGCTGCAGTAACCCCTGGGGGCTCTGACCACCTATGGGGGCCGGGCAGGAGCCTCTGGGGCCTCCACTCCGACATCAGGACCTGAGATGACCGCTGTGTGGCGCTCTCTCCCTGGGCAGGGTGGATGCCACAGGCCCCTCTGGCTCCCAGGTGCTGCTTCTCCACAGGTGCGGCCTGGCCCGGCCTCCTAAAGGCCACACCCTCCCCACGCACTTCCCAGGCCAGAATCCAAACATCGGGAACCCTGTTTTCTTCTGGGTGTGTCTCACTTAGAAATCGTGGTTCTTCCCCGAGGGTGCATGTTGCAGGAGGGAGAGGGCAGGGAAGACTCACAGCAGAGCAGGAGGGGGCCTGTGCTTCTCGGGGTCTGCACCCCAGGCACAGCGGTGTCACCCCGCAGGACCGCGGGCCTGCCCCAACCCCCAGCATTCCCGGGTGGGCCCAGACCCCATCACCAAGACTGGCCACCCGCTGCGTGTGTGTGCGCGCGCGTGTACGTGTGGCCCCACATCCGCCGCCTTCCACGCTAGGATGTAAGAGGTCGCCTCCTATTGTACATTTGGGGAAAGCCTTGGGTGTAAATCAGTGTAAACTTGGAGGAGAGATTTTTCTATCATGTAGAGTAGGTATTTTTTATAGATTGAAGGTTGATCAATTTTTTAATACTTTCAAGAGAAAACTGTGTATACACATGAAATATATATATATATATATATATATATATGTATAATATATAAAGACTGGCACCCTGCCTCTCTGTGCCCAGGCCCAGCCCTGGTGACATGGCACCACTCAGCAGTGCTGTCACTGTAAGCATGGACTCCCAGGAGACAGTGTGGGAAACGCTCCTGCTTTAATTCCCCGAGAAACGGCTCTTCCTGCCTGGATGCAGGAGGGCAGGGGCCACCACAGATTAAAGCTGTTACTGCACACGCAGAGGCCGGCTTCTTCCTCCAGGGGGGCCACAGGGTGGGGTGGGAGTCTTCTGGGCCTGGCCCAGCTTCCCTCAAGGCGTCCGAGGCCATCAGTTGTCTGAGCTCAGAACCCAGCAGACCTGCCTGGCTCTGCAGCTTGGTCAGACTAAGACCCTTCCAAGGCCGTAGGATTGCACCTCCAGGCCCAGTGGAGCCTGGCAGCTTTCCAGCCAGGTTCTGGATCCTGACGAGCTGCTGAGACAGCATCAAGGTGGGGCAGGTGGGGCGGGGCAAATTGGGCAGCACAGGGCTGTGTGGGCATCAGGGCTCTGGGTCACACGCCTCTGGGGACGTACGTCCCATGTCGGGAGAGCCGTCAAAACGTCCCCGGGATTAAGAGAAGAGTGGGGGGCAGGGCGCAGAGGCTCACGCCATAATCTCAGCACTTTGGGAGGCCAAGGCAGGAGGATCGCTTGAACCCGGGAGTTCAAGACCAGCCTGGGCAACATAGCAAGGCCCCATCTCTAAAAAATAAAAAATTAACCAGGCATTGTGGTGCGCACCTATAGTCCCAGTTCCTTGGGAGGCTGAGGTGGGAGAATTGCTTGAGTCCAGGAGACGGAGGTTACAGTGAGCTGTGATCACACCGCTGCACTCCAGCCTGGGCGACAGCGAGACCCCATTTCAGAAAGAATTTAAAAGGGCAGTGATGTGCAGGGTGGTGGGAGGACATCCCCCAGAAGAGGGGGCAGACACAGTACCAGCACCACAGGCACGGGAAGGTGAGGAGGCAGGTCCCGACGGAAGTGGGCTCCCGAGGTCATGGGCAGCCAGGGAGTCTGAGAGAGCTCAGTGCCACTGCAGCCACAAAGAATGGCCTGCGGGGAGTGGTCCCATCTGATCAAGAGTCCCCCAAAAACACAAGCCTTGAAAACTGGACCACCTGGTCCAGCATCCAGGAAGCGGACTGTGCATCTGCGGCTCTCGCTCTCCCGCCCCCCGCGCGAGATGCCCGCCTGCCTGTCACTCTCAGATGCAGATGGAGATGGAGAAACCAAGGCCCAGGGAAGCTGAGGACCCAGGTCTGCCAGTCCCCTCAGCCCAGCTGCTGCTTGCGGGCTGGTGACCAGAAGAGGACCAGGCGTGGCCTACAGTGAGGAGTCCTTGAACCCTCAGTGCAGGTGCAGCAGAATGGTTCCAGGTCACAGGGCCCAAGAACCCTGATTGCTTCATGAGTTAGAACTGAGGAGTGACAGGCCGGGCGCGGTGGCTCACGCCTGTAATCCCAGCACTTTGGGAGGCCCAGGCAGGCGGATCACAAGGTCAGGAAATCGAGACCATCCTGGCTAACATGGTGAAACCACGTCTCTACTAAAAATACAAAAAAATTAGCCGGGCGTGGTGGCCGGCACCTGTAGTCCCAGCTACTTGGGAGGCTGAGGCATGAGAATGGCGTGAACCTGGGAGGTGGAGCTTGCAGTGAGCAGCGATCACGCCACCGCACTCCAGCCTGGGCAACAGAGCGAGACTCCGTCTCAAAAAAAAAAAGAACTGAGGAGTGACATGGGCGGTGTGGGTGTGTCCAAGGCCAAGTTCCTCCTCCCAGGAAAAAGACCTGCTCTCCCACCTACCCAGGGGTCTGTGTGGTGCCAGTAAGACCCATCTCTGCCTAGAGGGAGAAGCTGGAGGTGGGGAGGGGAACTCACTCCACGCTGCCAGGCCAGAGCCAGGGAGGGGAAGGGGAGCAGCTTCCTCCTCCTGATACCCCACTGTGGTCTAGGAGCACCTCAGTTTCCACGCTAGATTTTAAACATGGGGCTGTCCACAGTCCAGCTGGCCCCACCTCGATGACCCACTGGGGTCTCCAGCCCAAAGGAGTTTGAGACAGGAGGACACAGGATGAAATGGAAACATTCCCGGAAGGGCTGCCAGAGACCTTGTGGGTGAGCGAGAGCAGGGTGGGGTGGCCGGTGTGCATGCCTGGTGGACGTGCCCAGAAGCCTGCACCCCCCAGGAGGCCCGAACGTGTCCCTCTGGAGTGTCGCCCCCACCCCCAGCTGTGCAGTGGGATGGTCACTGGGCCTGCCAAGTCTCCCAAGGCAGATCCTGTCCCCAGCTGGCTCCTGACATTGAATGTTCTGAGTCTTGGTCAGTTCTGCCCGATGGAAGAGCACCAAGGAGTCTTGCCCGGCAGGATAGAGAGGAGCGGCTCTGCCCCTGCCCTGGAACAAGAGCCCCGGACGTGGGTGCAGAGCCCCTCACATGAGGACCGCCCCATCCTGCCTCTGCTGAAGGGCAGGTATAGGAAGGCTGGACCCCCTCAGCGGCCCCCCGGATGTGGGTGCAGAGCCCCTCACATGAGGACCGCCCCAGCCTGCCTCTGCTGAAGGGCAGGTATAGGAAGTCTGGACCCCCTCAGCGGCCCCCCGGATGGCACCCTGGCCCCTCTACCTGCTGGCAGTCCAGTAACCTGGAGGTGGTGGCCCAGAGAAAGGCGGGAACTTCTCCCAGGGCCCCGTCCATTGTTATTTTCACCTGTCCGGCCGCCCATTCTTTTTTTGAGACGGACTCAGTCACCCAGGCTGGAGCGCCATGTGCCATCCCAGCTCACTGCAGCCTCAACCTCCCGGGCTCAAGTGATGCTCCTGCCTCTGCCTCCCAAGTAGCAGGGACCACAAGCACACACCACCACACCCTAATTATCTTTTAAGTGGAGACAGGTTTCGCTTTGTGTGTTGCCCAGGCTGGTGGTCCGTCGTCTTTTTGACCCAGGCCTGTGTGGCTCACAAAGCAGGCAATTGCAGGGTCATCCCATCAAATCTGAGCATGGCACCAGAGCACACAAGTCAGCCACCTGCGGGCCTTGGCACCCTCGTGCTCCACGCCAGGGTCCCTGTGTGCTCAAGTCTGGGCTCCATGATGGCACTGGGGTTTGTTCTGTTTGCTGCTTTGTGCGCGTGAGGCTTTCTCTGGGTGCCTGAACAGATGCCTCCAGTTTCAGTTCTTTCTGTTTGGCCCTCCCCATCCTCTTCTCCTCCAGGGGGGATTCATGGCTCGCCTCTTGGCTCTTCTGGGCACTTGGCGAGCTTCTGCGCACTTGCGTTAGCTGCTCAGGTCTGTCTGGATGTGAGAGTCGTGTCCTCAGGCCAGGAAGCACTGGCACGGAGCAGGGCTCGGTCAATGGTCTGGATAATCCAGAGTCACTTACCTTCTGCTGTGCAGTCATTTACAATTCACGCCTGTGTGCCTGATGTCTTGTGACTCAGAATCTTCAAGACAATCACAGGCTGGCCTCACGGAGGCACGAGTGACTCATTTCTCTCATCGCACCCATTCCCTCCAGCACTCTCCTTGTGCGGGGAAACCTCAGTCACCTTGAAGACGCCTCCTGAGGCCCTCTTCTGGGTGAATGGGCTTCCTCCTTCACCATGACAGGCTACTGGGGAGAGCTGGGGTGCTCCCACCCTCTCCTCACCCCAAATGGGCCTGGCCTAGCAAAACTGGCCAGAACTGGCCACTCTGCAGTGAGCTGGCAGGGCCCTCAGCATCAGATCAACAGGTTCAACTGCAGCTGCCTCTCTGGTGGGGAGGTTATAAGGCCTGCTGGCTAGACCACTGGCCCCTGGCCAGGGAGCCACCTAGGCAGTGCCAGGGAAGGACTGGGAAGGGAAGAGAACCTGCGGTCCCTGAGTGAGGCCTTGACTGCACCCTCTCCTGTGGTTCGAAAGCCACACTTGGCCAGTATCCTGCCATGCAGGTGAGGAAGCTGGGGAGGACAGGGTCCCAGAGCCTTGTCCAAGTTGCAGAGAGGAGAGCCAGCTCTCACTCTGCAGCCCTCTGTGCCCCCAGACCCCCACTGGCCCCCGGGGACACATTTCCTGCCCTTGGGATGCTTTGGCATGGATATAGTCTGGGAACAAACGGCACATCCAGCTGCCCTGCCTGTCTCCACAGAGGGGGCAGCAGACCTAGGGGGAGGTGTCCAAGACACAGGAATGAAGTGTCCTTACCAAAAGCTTCCGAGGACAGAAATAAACCCCTCCTGCCAGCTTCTGCACTGACTGCAGCTAGAAGCCGAGCTCCACGTGGGACACAGGTGTCCCTGCTGCGGCATCTCAGCATGACGGAGGCCCATCCTTGGCTTTCCTGGAGCATGAATATCCTCTGAGGAGCACTGGCCCTGGCCTTGTAGGTCTTGCTGAGACTGGCTTAGATTTTCTGGCCCAGGAGCAATCGTCACCCAACCTCCCACTTGTAAATCTCGCCACAGAATCGGCCCACAACCGTCTCTCCGGAATCTCGGCGGACCAGCCCTGCTCCTGTGTCTCCCTCTCCCGCAGAGCCACTGCCTTCTCAGGCTCCTCAAGTGCACCTAAGAGCGGGAGTCTGGCTGCCCTCAGCACTCGCGTCCCGCCCTGCAGCCTGATAAGCTTGACGCCAAGGCATTCTCCCGAGAGCCGGCCCAGCAGCTGCTGGCAGGAGAGTGGCCTCAGGGCAGCGGGAAGGGGACCTCCGGGGAGAGAATGAGGCCTGCGCAAGGGTCCTGGAAGGACCCAGGAGTCGCCCCGGCTTCCCTCCCCCAGGCCCTGGTTGGGCGCCGTGGGCCGCGTCCCAGTTGAGCCCGGCGTGGCCGTTTAATGGCGTCCCTCCGCGACCGAGGACGAAGGGGCCTAGAGAGGCTGTGCCCAAGCGACGCTGCGAGGCCAGGCCGCGTCTCGGGCCAGGGCGGTCCCCTTGCCACCGCCGCTCTTGGCCGCCAGGACCAAGCACAGCACGCAGCGTCGCGAAAGGGGCGGTCCTGGAAGGCGCGAAGGGGTCTCCGGGTCTCGCGAACACGGCGGGGTCGGGGCGGAGTCGTGGGTCCTCGGTCGAGCGGCCGCCCAGAGCCCCGCGGGACACGGACGGCCCCAGCCCGGCTCCCCGCGAGCCCCACGCGTCTGTGACGCCGCTGATGCGCAGACGCCGCGGCTGCAGGCCCCGCCCCTCCGTGCCCCTCGCAAGGCCCTCTGGGAGTTGTAGTTCCAGCTCCTCCTCGGGCCGCCCCACTCCCTGATAATCCTGGAGCGCGGCGCCTCCCGGGGACCGAGGCCTCGGGCCCGGCCGTCTCCAGCAGCGAGGGCAGGAGAAGTGGCCCGGGCGGTCGGCGGACTGGGAGGGCGCCACCCGAGGACTACAACTCCCGGCCTGCCTCGCGCAGGCACCGCCCCGAGCTTCCGCCCCGTCGGCGCCGCGCAGCCCTGTGGGAGCCGTAGTCCGGGCGCGCGATTCACAGCGCCGCGTGCGCCCCGGGCGCGCCGTAGCCGCGGGGCCCGGGCCGGGCGCTACGCTACGAAGGCAGCGTAAGGCGGGCGCCGGACGCGGGCAGGGGCCGGGGCCGGAGCCGGGTCGGGGCGCCCCGCGGCTGAGGAGCGGGAGGCCGTCCGGGCAGCGCGGCCGGCGGCGAGAGGGGCCCCGCCGCTCTCCGGAGGCAGAAGTTGTGGATCGGCCGGCGGGGGCGAGCGGGCCCGGGGGCCGGGGCCGCGCTGCCCGGGCCGCGAGGACGAGGCGGCGCCGCCGGGCTGTGGAGGTGAGTCCCGTCGGCCGGGCCCGGCCGGGCGCCCAGCCGGGGACCCCGGGCGGGGAGCGCGGGCCCGGAGGGCGGCGGGGAGCGCGGGCTCGGCGGGGCGCAGGAGGCCTCGGGGGCCGGGCGCGCCGGGCTCCGAGCCAGGGCAGGGACGGCAGGGCCCCCGGAGTGGGGTCAGCCCGCCGCCCGCTGGCGCCTCCAGGCTGGTGGGGGCCAGGGCTGGGCGATGCTTCGCAGAGGAACCCAGAGGAAGGCGGGAAGTCGGCAGGGACCTGGGCCATGTGGGTCACTTGAGGCCAGCCCCGGGGGCCGCGCACACCGGAGGCGGCCTCGGCCCTGCCTGCCCTTGAGTGCCCTTATATCCGGGCCCATCGTGCGGTCCTGGCCGCCTTAGGGATGTTGTGCTTGGTGCGGGCATCACTCCCCTCACTTGGGGAACGGCCTGGGGGCGGCCACCTGGCGTGGAGGGGCTGGCGGGAGCCCCGTCTGTGCCAGCCATGCCAGTGTTCTCTTCCGTGTTCCTCTGGGGCTGCTGCGGCACCAGCTGGGAAGTTGCAAATCTGCTG
Organism: Homo sapiens; assembly: GCF_000001405.40. Taxonomy (NCBI): domain Eukaryota; kingdom Metazoa; phylum Chordata; class Mammalia; order Primates; family Hominidae; genus Homo; species Homo sapiens. The sequence goes on from NT_187610.1 coordinate 131,261, forward strand.
TCCTCCCGCTGGCTGCAGAAGGGGCCCCTCTAGTCCTGACCGGGGGAACTCTTGTGTGGTCAGCTGGCCCTGGCCGGGCGAGCTCTCGGGGCCCCCTTACTGCTCTGGAGTTTGTTACCGGACTGCAGGTAACAAGACCCGGAAAGCAATGGTGAGGCCCAGAACCTGAGGCCAGGCCTGGGTGTGTGGGGCCAGTGGGGAAGACTGGGACTCCGTTGGGTGCTGAAGAGTTGTGTGCTTCTCCTTCGGGAAACCCGGATCTCTTCCTCTGCCCAGGTCTGAGGGGTGCGGAAACGTGAGTCACAGTTCAGTGTGGGAGTGCCCCGTAATTGCCTCCGCGTTTCCAGAGTCTGGGGCTGGGCAAGGATATAGGGGTGATTCTCCCTTCCGGTTCTGAGTGACTTCTCAACTGTGAAGTGGGGCAAGAGAAATTGTTTTTCTGGCCTGTCTGGGGGAGGCAGGTCCTGCAGGAAACCAGCTTGGCCTGGCCTTGGGTTGGGTGTGCCTTGCCTCCTCCGAGGTCCTTCTGCTTGCGGGAGGAGCACCCCTCTTTTTCCTGCTTCTGTCTGTGTCTGAGGCTCTCCAGAGCTCCTTGATTGGCAGAGGAGCCAGTGACCTCTGAGTCCCCAGGAGAGCCCGAGGCTCAGTAACTGCATAACTGCGCAGGGCCTCTTGTCTGGGCCTCCACAGACCGTGGTCTCTGAGAGCAGGAAGTGGCTGGTCCCCTGTAATGCTGCATCTGTGTGACAGCCTCAAGCCCTGCTGGCTCTCTCTCCGGGCACCCCTCACTTGCTTCTTGCCCTGGCCTTGGGCAGCACTCCGGTAACCCCAGTGCCACAGGTGAGGAACCGAAGCTGGAGACAGCTGTTCATGGCAGGGGAGGGGCCGAGGGAGGCTGAGCGCCTGGTCTCTCCCTCCTGCTGGTTCCACCAGTTCACACGAGGCAATTGGAGGGAAGGATTCTGCTGCCCGGAAAATCCTCCGGAACCACAGGTGTTGTTCATGGGCCTGAGCCGCTCAGTGAAGAACTCGGCCGTTGGTGGCCGAGTTGCCCCTGGTCCAGCCCTCTGGCCCGCGGTGTGATGCCTCTACTCATGGCAACAGGCGTGGACAGGTGCTGAGAAGGAGGACGACATCATTAAACAAAACAGCTTGGGGTCTTTGAAAAACAGTGACAGAAACCCAGGAAGGCTGGTGACTTGTCAGGTCTGTGTCTGTCCTGGGTGGCCACTCGGCCCTGGACCGTGAGGCTGAAATGACAGGAGACACGGAGGGTGGGCTTGGGTGGTTTCCTCATAAGACACAGAAGAAGGAGGCCCCCAACCCGGGGGCTGCCTCGTGCGCTTTGCTCTCCTGTTTTCCTGCTCTGTCCCTCTGGTCCTGCCCTCTGACCCCTGGCACAGCAGGAGTGCCCAGAAGCCCAGTGGGACTTGTTCTCTGCCTAAAGCCCTTCCGCATCCCTCGTACCCACTCGGTGTGGATGTGGGTTTTCTCACCACCAGGCTGTGCCTCAGCTGTGTGGAGCCACTGGCCTCTCATGCCCCACGCTGGAGAGAACGCTGAGGTCTGTGCGGTTCTCATGTGACCCTGTAGCTGGTCCCTGGCTCCCCACTGTGGGATCTGCCTGCAGCACTTACACTTGGGACCGCCCTGTCTCCCTGCTGGATGTGGCGCCGAGGGCAGGGTCCGTTTCTGTTTCTTGGTAGGCCTAGTGTCTAGCGCTATGCAGCCGTGCGCAGAGCAGGCGGTCAGTGAGCACCTGGGGTTGGCCCTCACCACAGGCAGTTCTGAATACCTGGGTTCTGGCAGCCCAGGGGGACTCCTGCGTGCTCCAGGAAAGTAGCACAGCAGCCCCTGTGGCGTGGACACGGCCACACCTGAGCTCGGCCTGTTTCTGAGTCTGAGAGAACAGGCTTGCTGGCCTGTGATCTTTGCATGTGTGTCTCGCTGCAGGGAGGCTGTGGGTTGGGGCTGGACCTAGACCCGTTCAGCCACACCCTGTCACTATGTGGGTCACACACAGCTGGGTGGAGACCTCCCGGTGCGTGGCCCAGGGAGGTGTCTGGGCGTGGAGTCTGTGGACAGCCACATTGTACCACTAGGACAGGGGCTGCTGCTGGGCCCACAGGGTGCACGGAATGGGGTCTGTGGGAGGATGGGGGCATCCTAGCCCAGGGCAGGGACCCCGTGGGCCCCCCAAGATGAGCTGCGTCAGGCTGTTGCTTTGCACACTCTGAGGGGCCTGCCTGAGTGCTGCATGGGAAGCCAGCAGTGTGGCCGCCCTCCCCAGAACTCATCCAGGGCACCAGGGTGGACCCATGAGTCCCGTCGGGTCATGGGCATCAGCCTCGCCATCCTGGCCTCCAGATACAACGATTTGTCAGATTCCCTGAGGTCAAAGGGAAGCTTCAAGGGTTGCCATCCCCGCCTCCCTGGCGGTCCTAGACGGGATGTCAGGAGGACGCAGGGCCATCGCTGCTTTTTAAATGTCACAGTGACTGCAGCGTCTGCTCCTCTGTGGAAGGAGCTTGCTCCGCTAATGAGGGAGTTCCTCCTCATGGCCTTCCCCTCACTTCTCTTCAAAAAGTTGCCCTTTATTTTAACATTTTTTAAGTTTTATTTTTTTGAGCCAGGGTCGTGCTCTGTTGCCCACGCTGGAGTGCAGTTGCAATCATAGCTCGCTGCAGCCTCAAACTCCTGGGCTCAAGTGATCTTCCTGCCTCAGCCTCCCAAATACTGGGACTACAGGTGGGCGCCACCACACCCAGCCTCTGCCCTTTGTAAGTGAAGTCCCCCAGGCAGGTTGAACCTCTTACACCTTCTGCCCCTGCCTGATCCCCACTCCCTACCCCCCACCTCCCTGTCCCCTGTAATGAGAAAGGCAATAAGTTTTGGAGCTTTCTGGAGTTCCTGCCCCTCCTGAAAAGGTGGCT